>NC_000001.11:207275496-207427011 GCF_000001405.40 Homo sapiens | reverse complement strand
AGTCTTTTGGTAAGTAGAGGAAGTTCTAAGGGTTTCCATTGTCCTTCCCTACCAGGAAAATAAACTGTGTAGGAAAACAATATTTGTAGTCTACAAGTTATTGAGCATATGTATTCCAACTATGCATTCCTGAATTGGAAAATAGCCATAAAAGTTCAGGGACCACATGTGCCCACTCATCATTTACCTGTATCAGTCAAAGGGACAACTTACTCAGTTAGCCAATGCCAAGTATATTTGTGGATCAGCCACTCTGAGTACTGCTTTTTTGCCTGGGTGTTAATTACAATAACCTCCTCCATCTGGTCTGTTGAGTAAGTGCTACCACTTGGCCTTTACCCCTTCAGGATCAAATTTCTCCACTGGATTCAAAGAGGTCTTTTCCCTCCCTTCCCTTCCCTTCCCTTTCCTTCCCCTCCTCTCCCCTCCCCTCCCCTCCCCTCCCCTTCTTTTTTTTTTTTTTTTTTTTGAGACAGGGTCTTGTGCTTTCACTCAGGCTGGAGTGCAGAGGCATGATCATGGCTCACTGTAGCCTAGACCTCCTGGGCTCAGGTGATTCTCCTGCTTTAGACCCCTGAGTAGCTGGGACCACAGGTGAGTGCCACTATGACTGGCTTTTTTTTTTTTTTTTTTTTTAGAGACAGGTTTTGGCATGTTGCCCAGGCCAGTCTGGAACTCCTGGGCTCAAGCAATCAGCCCACCTCGGCCTCCCAAAGTGCTGAGATTACAGGTGTGAACCACCTCACACAGCCAAAGAGGCCTTTTGATGACAGAATTTCCCACTGTAATTTCTGGCCTGTAAAGGAAATCTAGTACAGGGGACTTAAAGAATGCTGAAATTCCTCTCAATGTATTCCTCAAACTCTTGGGAAGGTTGTAGCCTTCAGATTCCATGGGTTGGGGCAAAATTAGGTGGCAGGTGCATAGCTTGAACATATTTCATTTCAGAATTCCAATATCCTTAGTGTTTGAATAATAAGAAAAAAGCCTTATATGTTTATCTATGTAGTTACCATTTCTGGTGCTCTTCATTCCTTTGGATAGGTCAATATTTCCATCTGGTATTTTCCTTCTTCCTAAAAAAACTTTAACTACTATTATCTTGTGAGGTAAATCTGCTGGTTATTAATTCAGTTTTTGAATATGTGATATGGTTTGGTTGTATCCCCACCCAGAATCTCATCTTGCATTGTAATCCCCATAATCCCCATGTGTTAAGGGTGGGACCAGGTGGAAGTAATTGGATCATGGGGGCAGTTTCTCCCATGCTGTTCTCGTGATAGTGAGTTTCACGAGATCTGATGGTTTTACAAGCATCTGACATTTCAACTGCTTGCACTCACTCTGTCCTGCTGCCCTGTGAAGAAGGTTGTAGGTACATGAATGTGCTTTGGTCAACGAATAGGCCGAGGTGAATATCCAAGCCTGCATGACTCGGTGAGTTTGGTGCTCAAGCGCACACCTCCACTTGTTATATAACCTGTTTGTGTAAGTTCATACTTGGCTCTGAGCCACTATTGTCTGTAAAAGGTATAATTGCCCTGTTAACGCTCTACAGGGGCTCTTGGGGTTTGGCTCAGTGCAACATGGCTTGACATGATAGGCACACTTGCACCCAGACAAAGAGAGAGTCAGAGCTGTCTGTCTTGAGATGGACAGGAGGGAGCCAGGACACAGCTTGGCCCACTAGTGCCCAGAGACAGAAAGAGTTAAGCTGCTGACCCTAAAGGCAGGGGACAGCCAGAAGCACAGCTGTATGTGGGAGCCACGAGCTCAAGCATCCGAGGCAGGCTGGATAGTGTAAAGAGCTAGTGTGAGAAACCTGTTAATGAGAGCTATTGCTGAATAAAACCATATTCACCTGCCTACAGTCCCCCGCGTGACATTTGGCGTAGTCGTGGACCTGACATTTAGAGTCTTCAGCAGGATGAGGTGAGTGGGTGTTTAGTCCCTGAGGACTCCTGGGTCGGCTATGAGGCACTAGCGGGGGCTGTGGTACCCGGTGGCGGAGGTGCTGCTTGGATGAGCCCCAGTAGAAATGAGGAAGGCAGTGGATAGGTCTTCCCCGAGTGTGGAGAAAGCACTAAAGCAGCTGGAAGCACACAGCACCAAGAAGGAACGCACCTTCGATGGCAGAGTCAGATGGGCGTTTCTGACTGCACTGAGGGAAGTACATGCCCAGTCCCACAGATAAGGGACCTTCCGGCACAAGCCCACGCCTGGGGCCCCAAGTGCACAGCTTGGAGCAAGACCTGGGGGTGGGGGACCTTCAGGTGCAAACAGGGCACTTGGAGGCTCAGACAAACAGCCTGAAGCAGGAGTTGGAAACAGCTGTCAGCTCGACCTTGAGCCTGTCCTCCTGGCCGGAGACTCCCGTTCCGTCTGATGCTGACAGGGAGAAGGCTCCTCCACCACTGTGGGCTCACCCTGTAATCCGTCAGAAGGTAGAACATAAGCAGCTGATGGGACCCCAGTGGAGAACCCAGGGACGACCCCCGCCCCCCGCCCGCCCCAGCAAAGTGGTGGAACACATCTCTTCTTTGCTCTTGTCACCCAGGCTGGAGTGCAGTGGCGCAATCTCGGCTCATTGCAAACTCTGCCTCCCGGGTTCAAGAGATTCTCCTGCCTCAGCCTCCCGAGTAGCTGGGATTACAGGCACCTGCCACCACACCCGGCTAATTTTTGTATTTTTACTAGAGACAGGGTTTCACCACGTTGGCCAGGCTGGTCTCAAACTCCTTACTTCAGGTGATCTGCCCGCCTCAGCCTCCCAAAAGTGCTGGGATTACAGGCGTGAGCCAATGCGCGCCCGCCTGAACACACCTTTTATTGTGCTTATACCCCTGCTGAGTTGTGGGAGTTAGGTAAACAGTGCCGGCAGTGTCCGAAGGAGCTGATGGCATTTCTTGCGCCTCCTCCAGGAAGGAGAATCTGGCTTCTATCACAACTCACTCCTCCCTTCATCAGCGGCTACAGCTGCGCCTACGGTTGTCACAAAGGCAAGGTGACCACACGTTAATTGAGTGGCTAATGGCAGCCATACGGACTTTTTAGAATAATGCCGGAGAGATACCAAAAACTGTGAGTAAACGGCAATCGTGTACTGATTTGGTGCAGATACTCTGGGAGATGCGGCAGGCTGTGTTTGATCTGCAAACCCAGGGGCCAAATAATGAACGCTTTACCTCTCAGGTGAGGGTTCTTGTGCTGGGCTCAGCGCCCCCCAGTGCTTTTGGCTCTGTAGCTGCTGTTCTCACTCCATATGTGGGGCGCTGCATACATGAAATGACTACTGCTGTGGCAGCCCTTGGGGAGCAGAAGGCGGTCGGTGGAACCGGAAAGTCCGCGCCATAAAGAAGGGGAAGGTGCCCCGCCCCCACCGGTAGCCACCCCACGAGATAAAAAGGGGCCCCAGTGGGTGGCTTTCATGCAGATGTGGATTTAATTGCAGCTGGGGTTGCTTGGGAGAAAACTGACAGGCGACCCAATGGAATGCTGTTGGCTCTGTGGAGGCAATTGTCCCCGGAGCAACAATTTCAGAGAATGCCCAAGAAGAGACAAAACAATGTTGTTCAACCTACTCCCGCCTGGACACTGCAACTCAAGGACTATTTGCAGACAGGTGGAGATACAGGGCCTTTCCTGTTTGATTAGGGAACTGGCCCAGGTGCCCGGCCCGAGCGGGCGCCTGATGACCCTAGTCTATATGTGGAGCTGGTAATCCACTCGTCCCCAACTAATGTACAGTGGGTCCTAGCACTGGTAGATACTGGTGCACACTGCTGTCTTCTTTATGGGAACCCGGATAAGTTTCCGGGCAAAGCTGCTTTCACTCACGGTTATGGTGGCCAGTCGGTGAAGGTGAAACCTGCGTTCCTGCATCTTGGCATTGGCTGCTTGGCCCCCCACCTGTACACTGTGTATGTCTCTCCCATACCTGAATATATTCTGGGGGTGAACATTTTGCATGGTCTGGACTTATACACCATGGCCGGAGAATTCAGACTCCCAGTTCATGTAGCAAAGCTGGTACTGCGGGGACATACACATCATTAGCCCCAAGTTCTGCCACAACCCCGATGGGTTACCTCCACTCGTCAATACCTTTTGCCAGGGAGGCATACCGATATAACTGAGACTATTCAGAAGTTAGAAGAGGTGCAAATAGTGCGTGGCACCCATAGCCCCTACAATTCCTCGGTATGGCCGGTCAGAAAGCCTGATGGGTCTTGGCGGATGACAGCGGATTATTGGAAACTGAATAACACCCTCACTGCATGCAACTGTACCCTCCATCACAGATTTGATGAATCGCTTGACAACAGAACTGGGACAGTACCACTGTGTGGTGGACTTGACCAATGCATTCCTCTCAATAAACATTGCTCCAGAGAGCCAGGAACAGTTTGTCTTCATAGGAGGGCGATGATGGACATTCACAGTGTTGCTGCAGGGCTATATGCATAGCCCCACCATATATCACGGTCTTATTAATGATGTTATGCTCACCTCTGATTCTCTTGCAGATTTAGAAGTGGCAACACCACTCTTGCTTGGGATTGGATGATGTGGCTGAGAGAGTCTTTCTGGCACATAGGTTATTTAGCAGGCACAAGCCCAATGGGTAGTCGACTAGAGGTGCCCATTTAAGCTAGATGTGCATGTCACCACAGATGAGTTTCAGTTAGGGCTTATAGCAGCACATGGAGTGCCTGAGCATGCCAATAGGCTTTTGGTCCCAACTATGGAAGGGAGCTGAGCTCCAGTATTTCTTGGTAGAGAAGCAGTTAGTAACAGCAGGATGGGTGTGTTCATGGGTAACCACCCCCTCAACTGGGAAAACAGTAACTGCATATGCTGCCCTTTAGGCTCACAAAAGTGTGTCAGGATGGGTTACAGTCATCGTATGGGCCACTTACCTAGTAGCGGGAGGGGTGTGTTCATGGGGAACAACCCCCCAGACAGGGAAGGCACAGACATCCACTTTAGCAAAGTGGGGTGCCTACTTGGAGCAGCAAAGTATGCCAAGTCCCTTAGCAGCAAAGTTGCAAAAAGTCTTGGGACCTGTAGTCCTAATGCAAAATAAGACTGTGGGGCCTAAGGCATCCCTAGACCCTATGCTTTCACCATTAGGAAGAGCGTCCCCCCATTCCTAATAGGGCATGGTATACAGATGGGTCTAGCCAAGGTGCTACTGCTGCCTCGACTGTTGTTGCAGTCCAGCCTAGTACTGACACCATATGGTTTAAAACCAGTGTACGCAAAGTAGCTAATGAGCTAAACTCACAGCAATGTAAATGGTAATCACCAAGAAGGTAACACTGATGGTAATCTGTGCCAATAGCTGGGCAGTTTATCACAGCTTATGTATGTGTCAAATCTGTATATATACATTGGGCCTGCGTGCCCAATGCTTATGGGTCAGGCTTATGTGTCAAGCCTATGTGTATGTATTGGGTTTGCATGCCCAAAGTTTATATATCAGGCCTGTGTGCCAAACCTGTGTATCAAACCTGTGTGTCCAAGGCCTATGTCTCCCTCGGCCTAGGGGATGGAATGTAAGGTACACGGATGTGCTTTGGTCGAAGAATAGACCAAGGCGGATATCCAGGCCTGCAGGAATCAGCAAGTTTGGTGCACAGGTGCAAACCTCCACTTGTTATATAACCTGTTTGTATAAGTTCATACTTTGCTCTGAGCCACTATTGCCTGTGAAAGGTATAATTGCCCTGCTAATGCTATACAGCGGCTCGTGGGCTTGGCTTGGCTCAACATAGCAGGTGCACTTGTGCCCAGAGAAAGAGAGAGTCAGAGCTATCCATCTTGCAGATGAACAGGAGGGAGCTAGGACATAGCTCGACTGGCTTGTGCCCAGAGACAGAAAGAGTTAAGCTGCTGACCCGAAAGGCAGGGCAGAGCCGGCTGTACAGCTGTATGTGGGAGCCACTAGCTCAAGCAGCTGAGACAGGGAAGACAGCATAAAGAGCTAGTGTGAGAAAGTTGTTAATGAGAGCTGCTGCTGAATAAAACCATATTCACCTGCCTAAGGCCCCCTGAGTGTTCTTTCTGCCCATCCACCCACTTCCCTCATACTTCAGCATGGGCTAGACCCAGACCCCCGGATCTGACAAAGGTGCCTGCTTCTCCTTTGCCTTTTGCCATGATTGTAAGTTTCCTGAGGTCTCCTCAGCTATGTGGAACTGTGAATCAATTAAGCCTCTTTTCTTTATAAATTACCCAGTCTCAGATATTTCTTCATAGCAGTGTGAGAACAGATGAATACATATTGTCTCTGACAATAAATGTGTTCTCACTCATATCATTCTTCGTCTGTACATAAATATTTATTTCTGATTACTTTTATAATTTTTTAAATTGGTTCTGAGTAACTTGATTAAAATATGACTTGGTGAATTTTTTTTTCATATTTCTTGTGCCTGTAATTTGTTGAGATTCTTTGGTCTGTGTGTTATGGTTTACAACAAATTAGTAAAATATTTGGCCATTATTTCTTTAAATAGTTTTTTTTTCTGTCTTCCCTTCCCTCTCCTTATCTTTGAGGACTCCAATTCCATATATATATTCAACCACTTGAAATTATCCTACAGCTCACTGATGCTCTGTCCTTTTTTCTCTTCTTTCTATGTTTCATTTTGGATACTTTCTATTACTATGTCTTCATGTTTGCTCATCTTTTTTCCCGAAATGTCTAATCCACTGTTAATCCTATCTAGTGTATTTTTCATTTTGAATGTTGTAGTTTTCACTTCCAAAAGTTCAACTTAGATCTTTTTTTTGTACTTTCCATGCCTTTACTTACCTTTTAGAACATACAACCTATGGTCATAACTGTGTAATGTCCTTATCTGCTCACTCCAACATCTGTGCCAGTCTGAGTAGGTTTCAAATGATGGATTTATCCCCTCATTGTGGACTGTATTTTCTTGCTTCTGCACATGACTGCTAATTTTTTTATTGGATAGTAGACTTTCTGAATTTTACCTTATTGGTGCTGAATATTTTTGTACTTCTGTAAACATTCTTGCACTTCATGCTTTTGTGCAGTTTACCTAAAATATGTGATCTTTTGGGGTCTTGATTTTAATATTTTTTTAGGTGAGGCCAGAGCAGTGCTCAATCTGGAGATAATTGTTCCAATTCCAGAGCCAAAATCTTCTGGCATGCTACATAAACCCTCATGAATTGTTAATTTTCAGTCAAGCTGGTGAAAACAGGCACAGTTTCTGCCTGCGTTAGGGGCTGTTCTTGCATTGCCATAAAGAAATATCTGAGAGTGGATCACTTATAAAGAAAAGAGGTTTAGGCTGGGTGCAGTGGCTCAGCCTATAATCCCAGGCCTTTGGGAGGGTGAGGTACGTGAATTGTTCGAGTGCAGGAGTTCAAAACTAGCCTGGGCAACATGGTGAAACCCTGTATCTATAAAAAATACAAAAGAAATTAGCTGGGCATGATGGCATGCACCTGTAGTCCCAGCTACTGAGGAGGCTGAGATGGGAGAATCACCTGAGCCTGGGAAATTGAGGCTGCAATGAGCCGTGATCACACCACTGCATTGCAGCCTGAGTGACAGGAGTGAGACCCTGTCTGAAAAGAAAGGAAAAAAAAAGAGGCTTAACTGGCTCATGCAGGGTTTACAGAAGCATAGTGTTGGCATTTGCTTGGCTTCTGGTAAAGCCTCAGGGAGCTTTCAATTATGGTGAAAGGCAAAGGGAGAAGTTGAGGCAAAGGGAGAAGTTGATGTCTCACATGGCCAGAGCAGGAGCAAGAGAGTGGGGGACAGGGGACTGCCACAAACTCTTACAAAACCAGATCTCACAAGAACTCATTCATCACCAAGGGAATAGGATAAGCTATACATGAGGGATACTCCTCCATGACCCAAATACCTCCCACCAGACCCCATCTCCAACGCTAGAGACTACATTTCAACATGAGATTTGGAAGGGACACATATTCAAACCATACCACTGCCCTTTTGTGAATGGCAAGCACTGTCACAAGTAATCCTTTTCTCTAACCATGAATATTTTTCTCACATGAATGCATTGAATGGTATTCAGCTAAATACTCAAGAGCACCTTTTGCAGATCTCCAAAGTTCTCTTTTTCTGCAGTTCTCTTCTATGTCTCTGTCCTGTGAACTTTACCTTCCTAGCTTCCTTGATCTCCCCATACTCTCAGTATTGTCTCAACTTAGGTAGTTCACTGCCCTCCACTTTCATTCCCCTTCCCTGTGCAGCAGTCTGGAGATTCTTTCAAGACAGTAAAGTAGGGCAATCATAAGTCTTACATCATTTGTTTCCCATCTCACAGGGATCCCAGTCCTTCATTATCTGATGTCCAATGTCTTTCAAATAATTGTTTCCTATATGTCATCTATTTTTTTGTTATGTAGGCGGGAGGATAAACCCAGTTCCTCTTTTCCACCTTTGCTGGAAGCAGAAATTTCCTTTATGGTTAGATACCTTCCTCTACAATATACTTAGAAAGCTCTGACATTCTCCAGTCTATTCAGCATAGGTCACCTTTGAGTTTAGGTTTTAGTCAACCAGTGGAGCAGATTTTTAGAGCCACTCCCAGTTGTCTAAGCTAATGCATCAAACCCAGAATCTTTTGTTAGTGCTCTCATGCTGAAAATGCACTAATGCTAGCACTCACCTGGTAAAAATATATATATGACATATTTCTTTCACTCTGGTCTAACATGTTTAAGATCCACTCCCATTTATATTCCCTGGATTTCTACAGACATAAATAAGAGAAATCTGGAAATTCTTTCCATGTATATAATACTTCCTCCCAGGTCACACATAAAATCAAGCCTGGGGAGCTGAGAGAACTTAAAAATAATTATAGATCTAGAACCAATGAGAGCTGCTGGAGGTGGGTCTTGATGAGGATCAGCATTCCCCTCCAAGGTAACTTCTTTGGGAAGTTCATTAAAGCCTCTTCAAAATAAACATTTCTCATTGTAAGTCTGTCACCCACAGGATATAACTTTAGTTCTTTTTTTTGTTTTGTTTTTCTTTTAAGAAATGTTTACTCGTTGACTACGTGAGATAATTTTGGGGGGGCCTTCAAAAAATTTCTTGTTCTTTATTCAAGCTTGAATTGAGAATTTAAAGTCTTGATCATATAATTTTCTTTCTCCAAGTTCTCTGATTCAGAATCAGTCAGTAAACCATATAGTCTTTATGTTATCTTCATTTCTATTAAAATAAGCTTTATAGGCAGATGCAAAGATGAGAACGACATTTATTTTACTCACAGTTGTAGGAGGTGCAATGTTGCGCTTGTTCATACAACTTCTAAATATGAGATTAATCAGCTTTGCCCACTGTATGCTAAGTAGGTAGGGTTTGTAACAAAGTTATTTAGGTATCTTCATGTGGATCATTACTACCATGTTTCAACAGTAAAGCCAATAGGATTTGCTCTGTTGCCCATGCTGGAGTGTGATGGTGCGATCATAGCTCACTGCAAACGTACCCAACCATAAGAGATAGTTAAGTAAAGTAGGGTATATCTATGGAATATTATTACATGCCTTTACAAAAATAATAAAATACTTATGAAACATTGAGAAGTAAAAAAAAAGCAGCATGAAACAAGAAAAAGTCATTTATAAAACCAAATTTTCTAGTGGCTACTTCAGCATTTTAAAAGAATGACAGAATAGCAAAATTCTTCTTGGGGAAAAACTGCTCTTTTGTTTAGGGAAGCTTGATGAAGGAAGTTCTTTTGCTCTGGGAGGCAAGGCCACAGGCCAGTCTAGATAGGGAGAGGTTTCAAAAAATCAGGAGCCAAATTATTCAGTGTGACAGAATAACAAGAGTTTTTAGTTTTTACGTTGATGGCCTGAAAGATAGAATGCTGGAGCACATGATCAGGAAAGAGAGGCAGCAAAAAGATCAACAAGGTTGTAGTAGGCCAGGGAGCAGTGAAAGGTTGTTTCTGTAGTGACAATAAACATCTCCTAATTGCATGAGAATACCTGCTCCGGAATTTTTTTTTTTTTTTTTTTTTGAGTCAGAGTCTCACTCGGTCGCCCAGGTTGGAGTGCAATGGCGCGATCTCTGGTTCAATACAAACTCCGCCTCCCAGGTTCAAGCAGTTCTCCCACCTCAGCCTCCTGAGTAGCTGGGATTACAGGCGCCCACCACCACGCCCGGCTATTTTTGTGTTTTTAGTAGAGACAGGGTTTCACCATATTGGCCAGGCTGGTCTCAAACTCCTGACCTCGTGATCCGCCTGCCTCGCTGCTCTGAATTTTTACCTTTATATTCTACATATTATATGATGTTTTTAATTAGAAGAAAAGAGCATGATAGTTATTCCAAGTCAGGTAATGGTTGGATAAAAAATAATGATTATCTTACCTATCAGTTGCTGAACTGAGGCCCAACTGGTTAACTAGTTGGTTGGATGTATACACTAGGTCAGTGCAGGTTAGCAAATTTGTGCAACATTGACACCTACTATTTGTTTTTAACTTGTTTTTCTGCTTTCTTTTGGCAATAATCTTCTGCTATTGCTAAACCTTTAAAAATGCTTTTTAAAAAACATGTCCAGCAGCAATGTGTTTTTGGTGTTTGGGGAAATACAGGAATGGGAGCTAGATGATAAAAGGAAATGATAGCAGGTGCATAGGAGGAGTCAGATTGAGTCGAGGTCAGCTAGAACACACTGTTTAATAGAACTTTCTACAACAATGAAGTGTTCTAGATCTGTACTACCTAATACAATAGCCACTAGCCATATGTGCCTACTGAATATTTAAAATATGGCTAGTGTGACTGGGAGCTGAAGTTTCCATTTTATTTAGACTTAACTAGCTCAAATTTAAATAGCCACATGTAACTTATGGCTTGGTATTGGACAGCATAGAACATCTATAGAAAATCAAAAGCAGTGGGTAAAAAATGAGGAATCAGAAGAAGGTAAGCATGTTCTCTTTCATTCAGAAAACTCAAAACCAGTAGAAAGGGCTCTGGGCTTCTGGAAATCACATAAAATATTTTCTTTAATTACTTAAGAAAGGGTGACTCTGAAAGACAAGCAATATATATTGTATGAATTTTTTTTTTTTTTTTTTTTTTGAGATAGGGTCTCATTCTGTTGCCCAGGCTGGAGTGTGGTGGCATGATCATAGTGTAGCAGGACAAGCCACGGACAAAACCTCTCAGACACGGCCAAATAAAGCCAAATCCTTCCTTAACCCACTGTCTGAGAGCTCGGTTTTTGAGACGTGAGTCTGATGAAGCTCCTGGCCAAATAAATTCTTCAGAGAGCTGGGTTCTTGAGGCGCTAGTCTGCCGAAGCTCCCGGACGTTGAGACGTGAGTCTGCCGAAGCTCCTGGCAAAATAAAGCCAAATCCTTCCTTAACCTGGTGTCTGAGAGGTTTTGTCCACGGCTCGTCCTGCTACAGTAGCTCACTGCAAATTCAAACTTCTGTGCTCAAGCAATCCTCCTGCCTCATCCTCCTGAGTAGCTGAGACTACAGGCATGTGCCAAGTACACCTGGCTAATTTTTAAATTTTCTTTGGAGAGAGGGTCTTGCTATGTTGCCTAGGCTGGTCTCAAACTCCTGGCCTTAAGCCATCCTCCCACCTTGGTCACTCAGAGTGCTAGGATTATAGATGTGCATCACCACGCCTGTCCTGAACTTCAAGTTTCAAGGCACATCTCTGTTCTTAGAGAAAAAATTAAAAGACTATATATCAAAATGTTAACTTCAGGTGGTGTGATTGTGAATAATTTCTGTTTCTTTATACTTGCTACATTTCTCCAATTTTCTCCCAGAGCATGTCTAAGTGTTTATATTTGTATTTGCTTAAAATCTTGTTATTTGTCTAGATATTTTGAGTGCAATGACCTCCTTACCCCTGCCCTACCAATTTCCCCCATTTCCTTCCTCATTCAATTGATCACTGTGACTGCACTTCATAACTTCTGGGAAGGCATAAGGTTGGTAAAAAAGCAGAAGTTATCTGCAAGATTTCCGGTCTTTTATTTGTGAGTATAAATGTTTTCAAAATTTTTAAGAGAAATTGGGAGTTTGGAAGAAACAGAAGGGGATCAGTGAAACTCCCTCCAGAGAACGAAATGATTCCCAGGGGTTGAGAGACAGGCTTGTGCATTTCAGAGTAGAGGGGACCTGAGATTGACTTTGGTGGTGGTAGGTCTTGCATGACCTCAGAGGGAAATGGCAGCATGCTACAGCTGGAGAGTAGAACTGACAGGAGCTGGGTGCCTCTGCCTTATGAGAATGTCTCATGTCTCACGTGTGGTGTAGAAGCCACAGAAACCTGCCAACTCGGAAAGTGTCAGACAGCAGAAAATAACATGTCAGTGATAACTTTTGTGGACCCAAGGGCTCAAGCCCCAACACTTTGTATAAGTCCCTTGGACTTTGACACACAGCCTTCGGTTGGGTGTGCAGGGCAGAAGAAGGAATGAAATGGAATTTTTCACTATCTGAACAGGAAAAATTTAAACACTTAAATTAACTTGCGTTTTTTAAAAGGATGTGGAGAAACTGGAACCCTTATGTGCTGCTGATAGGAATTAGAAATGGTGCACCTGCTGTGGAAAACAGTTTGGCAGTTCCCCAAAAAGTTAAAGTTAGACACAGAAATAACATATAATTCAGCAATTCCACTTCTAGGTATATACTCAAAAGGATTGATAGTGGAACTCTAACAGATACTTGGACACCAATGTTAATAGCAACATTTTTCACAATAGCCAAAAAGTGGAAACAACTCAAATTTCCATAAACAGATAGTGGATTAAAATATGATACATATGTACCATGGAATATTATTCAGCCTTAAAAAGAATGATATTCTGATAAATGCAACAGCATGGATGGACCTTGAAAACATGCTGAGTGAAATAAGCCAGAAACAAAAAGACAAATACTGTATGATTCCACTTACATGAGGTAGCTGGAATAGGAAACTTCATAGAGACAGAACCTAGAGTAGAGGTTACCAGGGGATGGAGGCAGTGGGAACAGGGACTTATTGTTTAATGGGTAGCATTTCTGTTTGGGATAATGGAAAAGTTCTGGAAATGGATAGCAGTGATGGTTTCACAACATGGTGAATGTTCTTATTGCCATAGAATTGTATACTTAAAGATGGTTAAAATGTTAAATTTTATGTGATATATATTTTACCACAATTTAAAAATATTAAATGTTAGCTTTTTTCCCCTGTTCTGAAGTTTGTTAAAGAGATTCAGAACAGCCTTTAGTCTAGAGCAAGCTTGTCCAACCCACGGCCCGTGGACCACATGTGGCCCAGGATGGCTTTGAATGTAACTCAACATAAGTTTGTAAATTTTTTGGCTATTTTTTTTTATAGCTCATCA
Organism: Homo sapiens; assembly: GCF_000001405.40. NCBI lineage: Eukaryota > Metazoa > Chordata > Mammalia > Primates > Hominidae > Homo > Homo sapiens. The sequence continues at coordinate 207,413,613 of NC_000001.11, read as the reverse complement.
GCTATCGTTAGTGTTAGTGTATTTTATGTGTGGCTCAAGACAATTCTTCTTCCAATGTGGCCCAGGGAAGCCAAAAGATTGGACACCCCTGGTCTAGAGTGAACATAGCCTCAGTACTAAGACAATACCCCTTTAGTTTTCTACCTGATGCCCCGTGTGCTATAAGGCCTTTCCACTCTAGCTAGTGAGAACACCATATATTCCCAGCCTAGTTGAGCTTCAAGAGTTTTCTGCCTATGTCTTCCTGGTGACTATGTCTCTGGCCTCAGGTAACTTCCTCTACATATGTAGATATACTCAACCAAAGACTTGAGAGTACCCCTCTGCAGGTCTCTGTGCAGCACCTCCTTCTCTGATCTTCTGCCCTTGTCCACCAAACCCCAGCCTCTGACCACTCAACTCAAGACTGCTGGCTCTCTGGGCTGTAACCTGGTAACTGTCTGTAGGTAACGAGTTGTTCCTGTGATGCATGCAGCTCACCTTGTTTATTTTCCTTCTCCTAAGGTCACAGTCCTGTGCTCCCTCTTACACAATGACTTGAGGTGGCCCTTAGACAGATTTCTGGAGCTCTTTCTGTCTTTGGCTCTATTATGTACTTTCCCCAGGAAAGTCCTGCCACCTCAGACTCCCTGAACCTTGATCTCTATCTCTTAAAGTCTAGGAGCCCACTGTGCTCTGCTTGGGCCTTCCCTGTCTCGGTTGTGGTCCAAAACTCATCTCTATGAAGAAAGCAGCACAATTGTTGGGGCAATTAATGTATGAAAACAATCACTTTATATTTTATCCAGTTAAATTGTTTATGATAGCAGGGAAAGTCTGATTCTAATTATGCTGTCTGGATGTGGAAGTGTGAATTACTCTATTTTTCACTTTTAGAATTTCTGTTGTGTTCTTTCTTAAATATGCCCTATCCTTTGCAATATGTCTGTCTATTATGATTTCTCCTCCTTTCTTCTCTTTGAATATTGTAGATATCCTTAATTTAAAGCATTTTTGTATTTTTCTATTCTCTGTATTTCTTTAGATGTGGTTTCTCTAATTCATTGCATCCCAGAGCTCTCTCTTCCCTAGTTCTTTGTCTCCTCTTGAGGATTGTACATTTTTTCTAAGAACTCATCTTCAGTGGGAGTTTTTTCCACAGGCATCAAGTGCACTGGTTTGTGGAGGTTTCTTGTGACAAGGGGCACATTTCATTCTACCAAGGGCCCAGTAGTTTCAATTTATATAAGAATTTCTCAGTTGGGGTTTTCCACATAGACAGGATAATGTAAATTCACACAATAGCATTAGCAAGGTTCAGAGATGTGCTTCCTGTGTCTTTTTTTCTCCCATAGCACAGAGTAGTTGACTTGCTTCTTTGCTGCTTCATCGTCTTAGTGGTAAGGGTATTCTAATTTTCATTTTATGGACTGGCTGTCAGATTTATTAAAGAGCCCATTTCTAGGTGCCAGTGTTGCATGGGACTTTAGACTCAAATCCAGAACCCTGGTATGTGCTAAAATCATGGCCCTCCCCCTAGGGATTTACCCCATTCTGTCTCCTCCATAAGTCACTGGGTTTAGCTCTTACTCACTACATTGATTTTCAATATTCTATTTATTTCCTCTCCCCGAGGATTTCTCTCTCTCTCTCTCTATCTCTCTCTCTCCCCCCCTTCTCTCTCTGTGTGTGTGTGTGTGTGTGTGTGTGTGTGTGTGTGTTTGAGACAGGGTCTCACCCTGTCTCTCAGGCTGGATGGAGTGCAGTGGCCTGATCTCAGCTTACCACAGCCTTAACCTCTCAGGCTCAAACAATCCTCCTACCTCAGCCTCCCAAGTAACTGAAACTATAGGCACGTGCCACCATGCCCTGCTAATTTTTTGTATTTTTTTGTAAAGTTGCTCAGGTTGGTCTCGAACTCTGCCTGCCTCAGCCTCCCAAAGTGCTGGGATTACAGGCGTGAGCCATCACAACTGGCCCAGGATTTCTCTTTCTTAATTTCAATCTCAGTTATGTATTTTTAAATTAATTTTTAAATTTATAATTGACACATAATTCTACATATTTCAGTGATACATTTAAAAATTAATTTGGATTCATTGTATCCATTTTTCTAATTATTTTGTGTGGGATGAGATGGCTTCAAAAGTCAGCCTTGTCATGATGTTGCCTTGATGTGTACTTATATGTAGTGTTAAGTACAACATAGTATTTCTCGAGTCATACATTTTCAGGAAGTGTCAATAGTCTTTAACTTCTTTTTTTATTGTTAATGGTTACATTCTTTTTTCTTTTTTACAAATAATTTTAACTTTTATTTTAGATTCAAGGGATGTGCAGTTTTATTGCATGGGTATATTATGGAATGCTTAGATTTGAATTATCCCATTACCCAGATAGTGAGCATAATACTCAACAGTTAGTTTTTCAACCCTTGCCTCCTTCCCCCTTCTATTAGTCCCGAGTGTCTATGTCCATGTCCCGAGTGTCTATGTCCATGAGTACTCAATGTTTAGCTCCCACTTATATGTGAGAACATGCAGTATTTGGTTTTCTGTTCCTGCATTAATTTGCTTAGTATAATGGCTTCCAGCTGCATCTGTGTTGTTGCAAAGAACATGGTTTCATTCTTTTTAATGGCTGTGTAGTATTCCATGGTGTATATGCACCACATTTTCTTTATCCAATCCACCATTGATGGACACTTAGGTTGATTCCATGTCTTCGCTATTGTGAATAGCATGGTGATAAATATACAAGTTCATATGTCTTTTGGTAGAATGATTTATTTTCTTTTGGATATATATACCTAAGTAATGGGGTTGCAGGATCAGATTATGCATTTTCTTTTGGATATATACCTAGTAATGGGATTGCTGGGTCAGATGGTAGTTCTGTTTTAAGTTTTTTGAGAACTCTTCAAACTGCTTTCCACAGTGGGTGAAACAATTTACATTCCCACCAACAGTGTATAAGATTTCCCTTTTCTCCACAGCCTTGCAAGCATCTGTTGTTTTTTGAGTTTTTCATAATAGCCATTCTGACAGGTATGGGATGGTATCTCATCATGGTTTTGATTTTCATTTTTCTGTTGATTAGTGATGTTGAGCATTGTTTCATACATTTCTTGGCCACTTATATGTCTTTTTTTTTTTTTTTTTTTTTTTTTTTTTGAGACAGAGTCTCGCTCTGTCACCCAGGCTGGAGTGCAGTGGTGCGATCTCGGCTCACTGCAAGCTCCGCCTGCCGGGTTCCTGCCATTCTCCTGCCTCAGCCTCCCGAGTAGCTGGGACTACAGGCGCCCGCCACCACGCCCGGCTAATTTTTTGTATTTTTAGTAGAGACAGGGTTTCACGTGTTAGCCAGGATGGTCTCGATCTCCTGACCTCGTGATCCGCCTGCCTTGGCCTCCCAAAGTGCTGGGATTACAGGCATGAGCCACCGCACCCGGCCTTGTATTTCTTCTTTTGAGAAGTATCTGTTCTTGTCCTTTGTCCATATTTTAATGGGGTTGTTTTTTGCCTGTTTAACTGTTTAAGTTCCTTATAGATTCTGGATATTAGAACTTTGTTGGATGCATAGTTTGTAAGTACTTTCTCCCATTAGTCTTTAACTTTTCATGAATATATTATTTATGTTATGCTTTGTTTCCCAAGTAAATTTCAAGTGCTAGTATAGCAATTTATTATATCCTTATTTGATTGTAAAGTACTGGCATGGAGCATGCTATTTTAATTTGTACGCTCCAGGGCTCCTAATGGAACCCCAGCCTAATACAGTTATGAATGAATATCTGTTGAAAAGAACACAAGAAATGATATTAATTTTTTTCTTTTTTCTTTTTTTTTTTTTTGAGACGGAGTTTCACTCTGGTTGCCCAGGCTGGAGTGCAATGGTGCGATCTTGGCTCACTGCAACCTCCGCCACCCAGGTTCAAGCAATTCTCCTGCCTCAGCCTCCCGAGTAGCTGGGATTACAGGCGTGTGCCACCACTCCCAGCTAATTTTGTATTTTTAGTAGAGACAGAGTTTCTTCATGTTGGTCAGGCTGGTCTTTAACTCCCGACCTCAGGTGATCTGCCCGCCTCGGCCTCCCAAAGTGCTGGGATTACAGGCATGAGCCACTGCACCTGGCCAGTTTAATTTCTTTAAAATGAAACTTAAGACAAAATTTTACCTTTTTGCCTCAAGATAATTGTTAGATATTCAAGTGTGTAAATGATCTCTTGACTAGCAGCTATTTTTTATTTTCTCTGTTAATCTGATTAGAAATATAGCATTAGAAAAACTCAGTAAGAAGTTGTATCTCCTCGAAGAAGCAATGCTTTCATTAGCTAGTGTGGAAAATGATAAAGTGGTTCCAATCCTTTTCCATTTTATTTGTTATAATTAATTCAGATATACAAAGATGTATTGACACTGATATAATAAACATATAACAACCAGCAAAATAAACAAAACCTTATAAATGGGAGTAGGAATGGAGGAGAAATGAATGGTGGTACTCTCAGGTGGCTGTTATGGGACCACCCAGGGACAGTATCAGAATCTGAAGCCACAGTAGAGTGGGATGCAGGGGCAGGAAGACCCTTCTGTGAGAAGGAGGTGGGGGCTGGTGAGTGCCCTAAAACCTGTTCCTGCTTGCTTATGGCTCCAGAAGGAGTGGGTATCTCCCAGAGGGCTCATGTAGTGTGGGACTGAAAGAGTCTCTGGTTGGCCTCATAGTTGGAAACTTCAGGAGCAGTTGGAAGCCCTTCATAACTCCTTGCTTTAAGAAAATCCCTAGATACCCCTAGCTGGAAATTTATGCAATTGGATTGTCCCAGATTTCCCTGAAGAAGATGGGACTTCTTGGGGTCTTCTGCAAAGGAATAAATCATTTGGAAACCATGGCACTCTGGATATTGTTTTTGAGAGTTTTTGTAAAAGTGTGGAGGGACAAAAATGTGGGTGTAGGAGAGCATGACATTAACTTAGGGAACACAGCAGGGAAACAACTGATCCGGGTGCCTGATTCCTCTATTGGGCTCTTAGGACAACCTCTCTCCAAAAGGATCCAGGATCACTGGAGGGACAAGTAGCAAGGGGTGAGGGCAGGTTTTGGGAGCGAGATGGCCTTAGCACTGAGCAGGGCAGCCTTGATGGGCTTTGTTGGCTAATTGAGGACAGAGAGCAACGTTCTATCCATAGGCAACTCTTCTTTCAGACAGGGAGCCCAGAAGAGTACCTCAAAGGAAAAAACTTGAATTGTATATCAGAAAAAAACCTGAAAGAACCCAAATATCTATTTCCATGAAACTTTAAAATCTAGATTAAAGTTTACTAAGAAAAAGAAAAAGGAAGACCAGCAATGATAATTGTGATTCTCAAGAGGCAGAAAAAAACACCTCTGAAGTTGAGTGTTTATCCATTTCACTCTTGAGAAAACAAAGATTAACTATGTTAAATGACACGTTAAATGTAAGGGAAATGTGGGATCCACTCTTGGAAGAGCTTTTAACAAGCTTGCATCAGTTATCTTCACAGCAGGTTCTTCTGCAATGATTGCTCAATAGAATTGATTCATTTCACTACCAGGAACTATGAAGGAAAGGTCAGCAACTCATTTCCAGTTCTTGCTTAAAGTATAGTCATGTTAGCAGACAGCTTTGAGATTCTCTACTTTAAGTTCTTAAATTCTCAAGAGAGGGAATTAAGGTCCTGAGTGGTAAATGACCCACCCAGGATCATATCTGCCAATGACAGCTGGGGCTGGAATCTGATTTCCTGACACTCAACCTAATGTCTTTTCTAAGTACAACTCAAAATTTCTTGTGATTTGGAGAATATGCTAAGCATTGGCCTATCTGTGAAATATGATTAAGATAATATTGACCTCAGGTTAGGAAATCACTTGTCCAGAGGTAATAAAACCTTTTCAGGGGCAGGAAAAGATGTGCACCAGCCCACATTTGTTTATTGCCTGTGATGGGAAGGGAAGATACTCAATGTTTCCAAAGTCAATTTTAGGCCTTGTATACATCCTAAAAGAAACATTTGCGATTAGTTTTGAGTATGCCTGGTTAGATTATTAGGACCACAAGTAATTCTAGTCCTCTTCTGTTTTCTGTAGTGGCAGAAAAGAAAGAGAGCAAGTATGAGATTAGCTCTTTGGGTTTTGCTTCTTCTTTTTTTCTTTTTCTTCTTCTTCTTCTTCTTCTTCTTCTTCTTCTTCTTCTTCTTCTTCTTCTTCTTCTTCTTCTTCTTCTTCTTATTATTATTATTATTATTCTAGAGACAGGGTCTCACTCTATTGCCCAGGCTGGAGTACAGTGGCACAACTCACTTTAACCTCAAACTCCTGGGCTCAAGCAATCCTCCTACCTAAGCCTCCCCAGTAGCTGGGACCTCATATGCGCACTACCATGCCTGGCTAATTAAAAAAAAAAAGAAGGAAAGAAAGAAAAAGAAAAAGAAAAAACTTCTTGTGGTGGGGCGGCGGCGGAGGGGGTTGGGTCTTTCTATGTTGTCCAGGCTGGTCTTGAATTCCCCTCCTCAAGGAATTCTCCCACCTTGGTTTCCCAAAGTGCTGGGATTACAGGCATGAGCCACTATGCCTGGCCTGCTTCTGATACTTGTAAAGATGTTCATGGATTGGGTGGGGAGGGGGTGGTCAGGAGGCAGAAATTAGGAGAAATTGAGGTTGCAATTCAGCTTCCCTTCTGCATAGAGCATATGGTCGAAATCTGTTTTTCTACAAAGACATATAACAAGTACTTAAAGGTTCCACTGAAATTAAAGACTGGAAGGCGACTTGTGCAGATGTCATGAAACAGGAGCAAAAAAATGTGACTCCGTTTTTATTTCCCTTTCCCATTCCTGTGGTTCTGTCGTTTTATGCAAGTCAGAATCCTTTTGATGGGAATAGAGTGAAATGGGAAAGGGAAGTGGCGGAGAAGGGGAAACAAAAACTTCAAGGGAAAGAATCTGACATTACTGTTCTTTATAGCAGACTCCAGCCCCAACATACACACTTCTTACGTACAGCGCCTTATACACACAACCAACACATACAGGCATTCAGTTAGTTTGGGTTTGTTGTTGTTGTTTGCTACTAAGACATACGTTTGTTAAGTTATGTAGCTTTTTTCTTGTTGTTCATCTAATTTATGTAAGAAAACTTAGCAATAATTCACCTAGTAATGTTTTAAGAAGATGGCCACAGAGAGTGGGAAGATAGAAAAATATATATCTAATAGATTATATAGGCTTCAGATTTCTGGAGAATTTTCATTTTGAGGGTCAGCTAAATTCAGCCTGATATATATGCTTTTATGAAGGATTCTCTGATCTCCCCATAAGTGTCTCACATTCAGGGACCTCATTATCTTTATTATGTAATTTTACAATAAATTATGGTTCTATTGGACTTAAGCATTTATACAAACATTAGCTCCCTTAATCATCATAGTTGTAAATGGGGCAAATCTTACAAAGAACATTGAACTTGGAATCAAGAAATCTAATATAAATTTCTAGCTCTGCCATTTGTCAGTTTATTGAGTTTGGATGAGTTATAAGATCTCTTTGAACTACATCTTCCTCATCATAAGATAGAGACAGTAAACACTTTCTCTATCCCCCTCAGGGGGTGGTGGGAAGGATTACATGAGACAATGTATATAAATGCAGAAAGTATTATAGGTTTGTGAAGTGTTTATTGACATTGTTACAGATGACAGAATGAAGGCTCAAAAGGTTCAGTTAGTAAATGGAGAGTCATCACAAAGGTATATAAATGTTATACCTGGGACTTCATATTTAAAAAGGTCTGAGGGCTATAAATAAGTGTGGATAAGAAGTCTTGGCTCTGAAGTTCAGGAAGAACAGATAAGAGGCCTATGTAGCTAACTAATCCATAAATAAGGGCCACTAGTTTTTTTAATATATATTTAAACTTTTGAATTTTAGTTAATGTTTGAAAAGACTTTGTGAATACCTCAAAAACTTGATGTTACTAAATTTGCAAGTAGGAATTTAAATGCAAGTTATCATCAGCAGAAAATATTATTTCATCCTGTATTAAAAGCAAGGCCAGGTGTGGTGGCTTGCACTTCGAATCCCAGCATTTTGGGAGCCCGAGGCGGGCAGATCATCTGAAGTCAGGAGTTCGAGATCAGCCTGGCCAACATGGTGAAACCCTCGTCTCTACTAAAAAAAAAAAAAAAAAAAAAATACAAAAATTAGCTGGACATGGTGGCAGGTGCCTGTAATCCCAGCTACTCAGGAGGCTGAAGCAAGAGAATTGTTTGAACCCGGGAGGTGGAGGTTGCAGTGAGCCAAGATTGCACCATTGCACTACTATAGCCTGGGTGACAAGAGCAAAACTCTGTCTCAAAAAGAAAAAAAAAAGACAAATTGTGGTGACCCTGATGATGTGTACCCAATAAAAACCACAGAATTCCTATGTATTCAGCACCTCAGCTGTTTCAGTGTGACAATGGCCTCACTTACTGTGCAAATCCTTAGAGTACTTACCTACCACTAGATGGAGACATAGCCATAACTGATCAAAGTCCACTTAGCTGTTTAAAAGAAAAAAATACCTTACCCTCCAATAACCATATATGAAAAAGTACATATTCATTAGCAATACAATGTGATAACTTTCTTTGATATTTTGATACACTTGCTTGAATTTTTAGTATTTCAGAAATGTGAACTATTGTCAGCTGTGAAGGTTCCAAGTGCCTTCTAGATGGCGTATTTATACCTCAAATCTCTGGAACTGGGTAGCAGAAGACAGTAAGTTATAAAAGCAAAATAATGTAAAAAAGTATATATATAGTTTTTAGAATAGTGTGAAGAATGTATTTTCTATTAAGGAACATGAAAAGATCTAATAAACCTAGTAACCGAAAACTTCTATAAAGTACAACTTTCTGCCTCTGAATTCAGAGATTTTTTTTTCCAGAATAATCCTAGGTAGATGTATTTGCTTTATCAATTCTGTCTGAAAGTCTGTGACCCTATTCACTCTATAGATTCAAGGTTATCTTCAAACTAGGGACAATTTCCTTTATTATTTATATGTTTATTGTCTACAATGAAAATGTTTTATATATGTGATGATGTACTTATATATGTACTATGTTAGGTCATTCTTTCATTGCTATAAAGAAATACCTGAGACTGGGTAATTTATAAGAAAAGAGGTTTAATTGGTTTATGGTTCTGCAAGCTGTACAAGAAGCATAGCGTATCTGCTTCTGGAGAGGCCTCAGGAAGCTTCCAATCATGGTGGAAGGCAAAGGGGGAAAAGACATGTCACGTGGCAAAAGCAGGAGCAAAAGGGAGAGTGGTGGTGGGGTGGTGCCATGCACTTTTAAATGGACAGATCTAATGAAAACTCACTCACTATCATGAGAACACTACCAAGTGGATGGTGCTAAACCATGCCTGAGAAATCCGGCTCCATGATTCAGTCACCTCCCTCCAGGTCCCATCTCCAACATCAGAGATTATAATTCAATACGTGATTTGGGTGGGGACAAATATCCAGACTATATCATGCATATATGTATGTGTACACTTATATGTATCTATATTTTTATAGAATGTGTATCATAAAAGTGAGATTTATAGGTTAAGCATTATATATACTTAAATGTTATCAGAAACTGCCAGATTACTTTCCAATTACTTTCCATTGTAGAAATTCATACCTCTACCACTGATGTATACCTTTGTTTTACCAAAATCTTTTCAACTTTGAATGCTTAAAATTTTGCCAATCTGATTAATAGAGACTAATTTATAATTTTCTATTTTCATATCTCTAAATGCCTGTAAGGTTAAACTTCTTTCCATATATTTGTTAGCTATAGGCAATTTTCCCTCTGTAATTGTCTATTGCTTCATTTTTGTCCAATTTTTTATTTGACAGTCTTTTTCTTTTCAGTTTGTAGAATTCATTTTATATTGACTATTAATCAGTTGCAAATATTTTCTCTCTGGCTTACATTTACTTTTGCCACATAATTTTTAATATTACATTATTATTTTTCTTTATATTTTCTGAGTTTTATTATGTTGAAGTTTATCCAATTGTTATTCCCAATTTTTACTGTGATACACACAAAAGGGAATAAAATCATATATGTGTATTTAAGTTTTAGTATATAGTCCACCTGAATTTTCCTTATACAAATGGTGTGTGCAGCAATCTTTCTTCCAAAACTGTATACATTTATGCTGGCCTCATTTTTAAAATACAACATTAATTTCTAATAAATTGAGATATTATGTTCATCCTAGATTAAGTTTTCATATAGCACTGTATCTGTTTTTGTATTATTTCACTCTTGGCTTATCTATTATGAAATATATATCAGTACCCTTTATGCTGAATTTTACAGTTTGAGACATCTTGTTTTAAGGAATTAAAGATATAAAACAATAAGTAGTCTTAAAAATTAATGACAGAACTCTCAAATTTAGTAAAATTCCTGTACTTCCCATAGTAAAGATGAACAATTATTACTTGTTCCTCTTTCTGAGGCATCAGAAGTTATAAATCGAGAAGATTACTATTTTTCCTGAAACCTAAACATAACACAGAGGTTTTTGTTTTAATAATTTTTCCACAATGAATAGTTCTATTGTTTTGATTTGAATTTTTTCCCTACAATAAATCATTGTTTCCTTGGTAGCAGTGTGGCATATTGTCTCATTGCAAATTACCTAAACTTAGCGCAAAGGCCTTTTTCTCTGAGTGGGACTTCCAGTAAGGGAAAGCCTGCAGTGGCTGCTTAACTGTATGCTAGCCTGGTTAAAATGTGTTTCTCCCGGTTCCTCCTACAAACACTCAGAACCACTATTGAGTAAAAGTCATCCCATCGTTGGCAACCTGTCTCCTGAAAATATGGGTTTCTGATTGGTAGTTTTAATACTTTTAGCCCTGGATAAAATATTTAAATTCACATATCTGTTTCATCAAAGATATAAGTCTTGCGGGTCTTAGATTTAAGGAAAAGCTTTAGATTTTTCTTTCTCATTTTCAAAGGATAAAATAAGGCCCAGTGCGGTGGCTCATGCCTGTAATCCCAGCACTTTAAGAGGCCAAGGCGGGAGGATCGCTTGGGATCAGGAGTTTGAGACCAGCCTGGCCAACATGGTGAAACCCCGTCTCTACTAAAAATACAAAAATTAGCTGGGCATGGTGGCAGGCGTCTCTAGTCCCAGCTACTCGGGAAGCTGAGGCGAGAGAATCATTTGAACCTGGGAGGTGGAGGTTGCAGTGAGCCGAAATCGCAACATCGCACTCCAGCCTGGGTTAGAGTGAGAATCTGACTCAAAACAAAAACAAACAAAAAGGATAAGATAAAATCCATAGCTTTGTTGGATTCTTTTTTTTTTTTTTTTTAATCTGAGACGGAGTTTTGCTCTTGTTGCCCAGGCTAGAGTTCAGTGGTGCAATCTCGGCTCACTGCAACCTCCGCCTTCTGGTTTCAAGTGATTCTCCTGCCTCAGCCTCCCAAGTAGCTGGGATTACAGGTGCCCGCCACCACGCCCAGCTATTTTTTTGTATTTTTAGTAGAGACAGGGTTTCACCATGTTGGTCAGGCTGGTCTCGAACTGCTGACCTCGTGATCCACTCGCCTCAGCCTCCCAAAGTGCTGGGATTACGGGCGTGAGCCACCGCACCCGGCCCTGCTTTGTTGGATTCTTATTCGGAGAATTAAATATTCCTTGTCTCTTTTAAATTAATAGTTGCCTGGGGACTATATAATTCAGCTCTGATGGGGATATACAATGACAAACAGAGGTAAAGTTAACCTCTACCTGTGGTTCAGGAGGAGGAGCGCCCCCTGCCTTCTGTCCCTAACCTGCTCAGAACATCATTGACAATGAGCTGTCCATGCTTGAGAAGATCTGCAGAGCCATGAAAATAAAGAGAACTTCACGTATGTGTGGCTGTTGCTGGTTGTTACCAAGGTTGGATCCTTAGGACACAGGTTTTCTTTTTTAATGACAGGAGGAAGACTGCACACCTTCAAACTTAAGGAAGAGTGGTCTACGTTTCTGTTTTGATAGTTCACTAGGTTAGAGCCCTAGTCTGATTAAAGGAAGGCAATGGGTTTCCTTATGTGCGCAAACTGAGGGCCCAGTAGAGGAAGGTTTGGGTTTTGCAGCGTGGGTGACCAGCAGCAGAGCCCTGCAGCTCTGTAGGCAAATCTCTGACCTCCCCAGATTCTTCCATCAGTAACAGGGCATGGCCACCCTCTGGTGGATAAATACAAAGCCATGTTCTGGTTCCCCAAAGCTCACTCAGGGAAGTGAGGGAGCTCTGGATGGGACAGTTCCCAAGACCAGCCTCTACCTGCTGTGGTTCAGGTTCCTATCTGATATGGTTAGACTTTGTGTCCCTGCCTAAATTTCATCTTGAATTGTAATCTCCAGGTGTTAAGGGAGAGACCTGTTGGGAGGTGATTGGATCATGGGGGCAGTTTCCCCCATGCAGTTCTTGTGATAGCGATGGAGTTATCATGAGATCTGATGGTTTTATAAATGGCAGTTTCACCTGAACTTTTCTTCTCTCTCCTGCCGCCATGTGAAATGTGCTTGCTTCCCCTTCTACCATGATTGTAAGTTTCCTGAGGCCTCCCCAGCCATGTGGAACTGTGAGTCAATTAAACCTCTTTCATTTATAAATTACCTAGTCTTGGGTATTTCTTTATAGCAGTGTGAGAACAGGCTAATACACTATCTCTTTTCTTTATTTTCCTTGTACAAAAAACGATAGCTATAACCTCCACTTTGACCAAGCATTTGAAGCTTCACTTTTAGTGAAATTCTTTCACTAAAGGCAATGAGTTCTTCCCCACTAAATAAAAGCCCATGAATTAAAAGATGGGGAATGGGGAGTCCAAGTGAAATCCAGGCATCCTAAACAGGGGCTGTAGCTTTTTAGGCATAGAGGCAGTTTGGCATCTCCATATTTCCTGAGATAGGAAATGAGTATATTGAAAATAACCCTGATATATTTTGAATAGAACCCAGTTTCCGTAGAGAAAAAGTTGATGAAGATCAGTTTGTATATTTAATTCTTAAATACAAAGGCAATAATATCTCTCAAATGCAATGCAATTTCCATAGTATTAGCATAGTATAAAAAGACCACTAATTGCATATATCAATCTGGGAGGACCTTCAAAGATTTGGACAAAATCAAGATAACATTCCTAATGTTCTAAATGTGCTATCTATGAAACAAAACAAAACCAATGAAATAACAACAACAAAACTCTAGGTTAAGAGAAAGCAGAAGTACATGTCTTGCAATCACTGTGTTTGCAAAGATAACCATTATTTATTTAAGATAAAGAAATGAATATTCAGAGGATCAATTTTTCTCTACTTGAAAAATGTTGTCTTCTAAATAAAAATGCTGATTTATTCAATTGTGTGATAACATCATTGGTTACAGATAAAATTGCACTCTGACAAAAGGGAAAATAAAATACACACACATAGGTGTATAGGAAAATCTAAATTATTAATGAATATTTTTCTTTCTTATTATAAATGCTTTCTATTCTTTAGTAAGTTTTTGGATGAGGAAAGGGAAACCAACCATGACATAAAGGCTTCAGTATCACTGATGAATTACGAGGCAGAGAAAAATAATATATAAATTAACAACAACCGAGTAATAGTATAGAAAAGGAAAAGGAGAAAAACTAACACCTGAGGCATTAGATCTAAACTGTTTTCTGTCATCAAAAAATAATATTTAAACATAATATACACATAAAAGACAGTTCAAAGGTGCTTTACTTTTATTTGTGTATATTTAATTTAATAAACACATAGCTTACTACATGCCAGGAACTGTTCTAAGCATCCTACAGCTATTGACAGACAGCCTGGCTTGCAGACGGCCACCTTCTGGTTGTGTGCTCACATGGAGCGGGGAGAGAGAGAGAGAAAGCTCTTAGGTCTGTTTTTATAAGGACATTAATCCCATTAGGAGGACCTCACCCTCATGAACTCAGCTAAGCCTCATCACCTCACAAAGTCCCCACCTCCAAATACTATCACACTGAGGATTCAGGATTCAGCATATGAATTTTGGGGGGGCAGGATTCAGTCTATCCCAGCCATCTTACAAGTGATACTTTGACATATGATGAAATGACCCTACTCCATTTGGCAGCTCCTCCTGAATCCACCAAGTCCAATTATTTGGGGTATGGTTTTTATGAAATGGTATTTCTTTTTATTATGCTGTATTAAAGCAACTGAGATTCTTTTATTTTTTCCGTTAGATTTACTAGAGATTATTACATGTTTCCAGTTCAGGGCTCTAGGCTACCAACTGTTCATTCCCAACTCTGGGGCTTGCAAATATGTGTGGGCCTTTGTGACAGCCCTTGCCTGGTGTTCCAACTGTGATGCTACATCTGGCACCTGTGGACTATGACACATGAGGATGGGGAGGGTGGTAACAGATGTCCTTTATACTGTGTGCTCCTACTATGGCACCCAGGCCAGTCACCTCCTCTTTCAGCCTCCCAGCCCCCACCCCCAACCCCACCCCCACCACTGGCTCCAGCCCATGTATCAGGCTGTTCTCTCCCCAGAGATTTCTAAAACACCAATGGGCCCCTCCTTTCAATGCCCTGCCTCCAATGCATATAGAAATGGGGCATTCTCCTGGGCTCATCTTAAGCCATGCTAGCAGATGGGTGGACATTTCTCGTGGGGATGGAGCTGCTCTATCACTCCTCATAAGATCTGACCTCCCACTGGGTACAAGGGGTAGAAAGCAGGGATGCAGGCCCCATGGAAAGAAATCCCATTTTAGCCATGTGTTGATTATGGCCTAAAGAGTTCAGATGAAGACATACTATAGATTCCAAATGGTAAATTTAACAAGACTAGAAGAGGAAATATTATTTAGATTTTTCCCGCTTGGATAATATTTGTAATTGTGGTTATCAATGAAGCACAGAAGCAACCTTTGAGTGTCATTGGAAGGAAGCCATTGTTCATGGGTGGTACAATAGATGATCAACACTGTGGGAAATGATATAATTAATAATGAATACATGGTATTAGGAAAACAGAAGGGCAAGAAAATCTCTATCCTTTCAACTTGTATAAACAGGTTCTAAAGGGCCATGCATTGTAATAGCAGTGTTGTCATTTTTGTCTGGTCGGAGAAGATATAAAATTAACCAAGAACAGCACATTGTGCACATTTGACAATAAAAAACACAGAGGATCTAGACTCCAAAAAGGAAGAGATGGTGCCTGGACACGATGAAGAATCTTCATGTAGAATGATTAGGCAATGAACAAATTAGTGTCTTTTGATACTCATTAAAAAATTTTTATTCATAAATGACTATACCTCACATGGGACCATGAGTTGTGTAATGCATTTTTAAATCAAATTGTTTTCATAGACAAAGAATATACACACACACACACACACACACACACACACACACATACCCAGTTTGCTGGGGCCTTGCATGCCCTAAGGATGGCCCTGTCTACAGAAAAGTCAGTGCTGCATCTCTACCCCACTAATGTTTGCTGGAGTAGAGAAGGGGAACCACAGCATCAAGCCTCTGTGGAGAGTCCTTTCATTGATCAGCCTGATTTCTGCTCCATTTCCCAGTCCCCTAATCCCTGCCTGCCATCTCTAGTATGGGAATCTCTGTAGTTTCCTCCAGGAAGAGTGGCTCCTCACCACTGTCTCTGTGCATGTTTGAGCTACAGCTCCCCCTAGTCTGCATCACTCCTAGTAGGCTTCCACAGGCATCCTCTCTTCCAAAACATCAACAAAAGCTGGCAGCTGCTGGCACCTCATTCAGGGTATACAGTAGGCTACGGTGTTTGTGTCAATTACCAAGCCATGGATAAAAACTGTGACACATTCCAGGGAAGGGTGCTCCTCCACGTCAGGGAGTTGAGCCTGTTCTTCTGTGTCACCTAGCAGTTGGGCTCAGAGCAGCTGCCCCAAACAGTGGTTCTGTAGTGAAACTGAAGGTTAATCTAACCTTCACTAACTGAGGAATGTTGAAGGTTGTGACTAATCATATGGGCTAGCTACACTGTCAGGGGTAAATATAGGAGATTTTGATAAAGAATTGTGAAGAACAGAATGTCAGAGCAAGCCTGATAAAGAATTACAAAAGAATAGAGTGCCAGAGTAAGCCTCAGATATCTACTGATGCAAAGTAAGTATTTGCAGACCATTTACTAAAACTAGGATGATGTGTAAGCACTGTAGCCTTAATTGTATTTGGTATAAAATATATGCACTCCTTTATTAACACCTTAAATAATATGATTTAGCAGTGGTTTATTAACTGTGATTTCAAAGTACTGATACTCATAAATGATATTTTGAAATATCTGTAACCCCTGGAACATTTTTTGAAAATATCCGTGATTTATATTGATGATGAAGTTCTAGATACTGCAAATAGTACTGTGGTTTGCTGTCACTGTATTAATCTGTTAGGGCTGCCATAACAAAGTCCTACAAACTGGGGACTTAAACAGCAGAAAGTTACTGTCTCACAATTCTGGAAGCTTGAAGTCCAAGATCAAGGTGCTGGCAGAGCTATGTTTCTCTGCGGGCACTAGAAACTGGCCAAGATACCAATCTACAGATACACCCTACATACAAGAAAGAGAGCTGGGAGTTGTGTTTGTAAGGAAAAAAAGCCTTCAACTAGCCATATTCTGTTACTAGGGTCTTACTTTTTCCTCACTGGCCCACTAAATACCTCCTTACTCCCAGTATTCTAACAATCAACTATAGCAACCTCAAGCGACCCAGTCCTCTAACACTGAAATCACCATCTGAGGACTATATGATGAAGGAGAACAACCTGTTTTTAATCTAAAAGTCAAATGTTATCTTGTAACCCCCTGGAACTATCCCTTTTAAGATAATAGGTGGGAATCTACTCTGGAGGTGGGGACTCACACACTGGACCAGATGGAGGACTAGCTAAAACAGGACCCAGGTGGAAGCAGCTATCCATAAGAACCCCACCAGTGCATCAAGTTACCATTGCCATGGCAACGCCCAGCGGCTACCAAACTTTTCCATGGCAATGACCTGACAACCCAGAAGTTACTACCCTTATCCTAGAAATTTTGCATAAACCACCCTTTAATTTGCATATAATTAAAAATAGGTATAAATATGACTGCAGCCCTGCCTCTGAGCTGCTATTCTGGGCACACTGCCTGTGGAGTAGACCTGCTCTGCAAGGAGCAATACCTCTGTTGCTGCTGTACACTGCCACTTCAGTACAAGTTGCTGTCTAACACCACCGGCTTGCCCTTGAATTCTTTCCTGGGCAAAGCCAAGAACCCTTCTAGGCTAAACCCCAATTTTGAGGGCTCATCTGCCTGCATGACTTTGAAGCCCTTCTCATCACTTTCAGAATTCTTAAGGTGACATTCAAGAACCCTTATTACTGGCCCCTACCACCTCCGTGGGCTCATTTCACTCCCTGCTAATCCCTGAGACAATCAGCCACCTGCCTTCTGACAGGCCACTGAACACACCCATCTTCCTTCTGCCTCTGGCTTCTGCATTTGCCATTTGACCTGCTGTGATTCCGATGCCCTAAGGAGTTCTGCAAGATGTCGGAGGAATGTACCTTTCTTGCATTTGAATTAGCAAGGAGAAAGAGAGTGTAAAAACCCAGAGTTCCGAATCCTGAGAAAGGCATTTTATGTATGAGTGAGAGTTCAGTTCATTAAAATAACTCAAATTTTATATTAAAAAAACAGATGATACTCTGTAGATCTGTAGCCATTTGCTGGCTACCTACATGCATTTCTACTTGAATCATATTTGCTTTATTCAGTTAACAAAATCAGTTAATTCTGTATTTATGAAATGGTGTATTCCTTTGGGTCTGGATTTCTTTCTTCCCCCAAATACTTCAACTGTTTTCAATCTGAGCACAAATAGAAAACAGTGATATGTCTATGTCATCCTGGGATAAATGGGAAGTATTTTGGCGCCCCTATTTGAGGCTTGATGAAAAGAATTCATTATGTTAAAAATATCATATAGCCATTATTTTTAAAAAACATGAATTAGGAAAGGCCTCATATATTGAATTATATAAAATTTCCAAAGATTTTTAAAATTTTAAATGAGAAGCATCAGTGTTATCACTTATGTAGAGTTTTATATAACTTTTTCTTTGCTTTGCGTAGCAAAAGGAAAATAAGCTTTACTTTTTAGAGTAGTTTTAGGTACACAGCAAAATTGAGCAGAAGTTACAGAGAGTTTCCATGTATTCCCTGCCCCTATACATCCATAGCCTTCCTTATTATCAACATTCTCCACCAGAGTGGTACATTAGTTCCAATCAATGAACCTACATGGACGTATCATTATTACTCAAAGTCCACAGTTTATATTAGGGTTGATTCTTGGTGTTGTACAGTCTATGGATTTGGACAAATGTGTAATGACATGTGAGCCTCTTATCTACATGACAACAGCTAATGATCCAACAAAACCATGCAAACCAGATAGTAAACCCAAGCCCTTCGTTATAGTACTATCACATTGAGTAGTTTCACTGCCCTAAAAATCCTCTGTGCTCTGCCTATTCATTCTACCTCCTGATTCCGAACAACATCTGACCCTTTTGCTGTCTCCATAGTTTTGCCTTTTCCAAAATGTCATATACTTGGAATCATAAGCATGTAGCCTTTTCAAATTGGCGTCTTTAAATTAATGAAGTTTCCTCAATGTCTTTTCATGGCTTGGTAACTCATTTCTCCCTTCCTTCCTTTTTTTCTTTTTCTTTCTTTTTTTTTTTTAACCATTCTTGAATTAATGCATAAGGAACATGTGAAGTTTGTGAAAATCAGAAATGGTTGAAAAGCAACATTTTTGCTCATTAGTTGATAGAAAAAAAACCCTTCATTTCAAAGATTTGGATCCATTTACCACGCTGCGCATTTCTTAAGCACTGAATAATATTTCATTGTCTGGATGTCCCAAAGTTTATCCATTCACCTACTGAAAAACATTTTAGTTGCTTCCAAGTTTTGATGATTATGAATAAAGCTGCTTGTGGCTGACTGCCACAATTACTTCTTGAAACTGTCACTACAACAGTTACTACTGTTATTACTTGAGACCGTCAAGACTGAATGAAGACAGACGAACGTAGAAATGAAAACTTAAGACAAAAGAAACTGTTTTAGGCCGGGCGTGGTGGCTCATGCCTGTAATCCCAGCACTTTGGGAGGCCCAGGCGAGTGGATCACGAGGTCAAGAGATCGAGAGCATTCTGGCTAACATGGTGAAACCCCGTCTCCACTAAAAATACAAAAAATTAGATGGGCGTGGTGGTGGGCGCCTATAGTCCCAGCTACTCGGGAGACTGAGGCAGGAGAATGGCGTGAACCTGGGAGGCGGAGCTTGCAGTGAGCCGAGTTCGCGCCACTGCACTCCAGCCTGGGCGACAGAGCGAGACTCCATCTCAAAAAAAAAAAAAAAAAGCAAAACTGTTTTAAAGGCAGGGGTCAGAGGAAGAAGAAGAGAGCTCCCAGCTTCTAGTGAGCAAAGGCAGCAACCCTGAGCTTTCTATAGCCCTTCTTATTTATTGGGTAGCAAGAGCAGGGAGGAGAAGGTAACGATTGGTCAGCTGCTTAATTGATCACAGGTTCATGTTATTACTAACAGACTTCAGATGTACTTAATCACAAGATTAGGGGCGTGACTGCCTTCAGCATTCCTTCTGGGTGGCATATGCAGTTTGTCAGTTTGCCAACATTCTGCATTTATGAGAAACAGTTTGCTGCTTACTCATACAGCCTCCAGTGGCATACTGAGTTGATCACAACCCTCATTCTTTCCGCCTCCAACAGCTGCTGCTATAAACATTTGTATGCAAGTTTTTGTGTGGATATAAGTTTTCACTCCTTTGGGTAAATACGAATGAACACAATTGCTGGATTGTTTGGTTTTGCAAGAGATTGCCAAACTATATTCCAAAGTGGCTGTACCACTTTTCATTCCCATCAACAATAAATGAGAGTTTCTGTTGCTCCACATCGTCGTCAGCATTTGGTGTTATCAGTGTTCGGGATTTCGGCCATTCTCATAGGTGTGCAATGACAACTCCTTGTGTGATTTTGCATTTTCCTAAGGACATATGATGTGGAGCATCTTTTCACATGCTTATTTGCCATCTGTATTTATTCTCTGGTAAAGCATTTGGTAAGGCCTTTGGCTTGTTTTTGGTAAGTCATGCTCTCATTTTCATTTAGTTCAAAATATTTTAAAATTTCCCTTGAGATGTCTTTTTTTTTTTTTTTTTGCTCTTTTATTTTTGTCTTTGCTGTGTTACTTAGAGGTGTGTTGTTTAATCTCCCGTGATTTTGGGATTTCCTAGCTATCTTTCTGTTACTGATTGGCAGTTTAATTCCACTGCAGTCTGAGAGCAGACATTATATGATTTATATTCTTTTAGATTTATTAAGATATGTTTTACTTGTTATTAGGACAAAGTGGTAACTTCCCATCTCCTTATATGTAGAACTAGAAATTGGAAGTTCTATGTGA
This sequence comes from Homo sapiens, assembly GCF_000001405.40. Lineage (NCBI taxonomy): Eukaryota > Metazoa > Chordata > Mammalia > Primates > Hominidae > Homo > Homo sapiens. The sequence continues at coordinate 207,393,024 of NC_000001.11, read as the reverse complement.
CTTTTCATATAGAGTTTTGTGCTTAAAATGCTCCATATAATTCCTGATCAAGAGCCTTCAATGAAGATCTTATATTCTTGATGGTCACTGTCAATGAAACACTCTTTTTGCAAAATTTAGCCTGTTTTAAGCTATTGACAAGTCATAGCACTTGAAATCACACTTAATCTATCAGCTCTCCTTTTTCTTGCAATAATAAATATGGTTATTGTGATAATGCATATTAAGTATTTTCATATTAAGTATTTTAAAGTGATGATCAAGCTATAATTTGCAGAATATGCATGATTGTTAGTTTGTGTAGATAGCTTGGAAACCATTGCAAGGGCACATTTTACTTTCCTGCATCAAAGTATTCTATGACTGATTATACCATTGTCTTCATGACAAAGTAGAGGCTATCTAAAATGACTTATGTATTAATAGTTTCTGCTTACATGTCTGACCTACTCTGTAGCCTGGTTCATACATTTTATCTTGCTATGCTTGCTTCTTCTGACCCCCAGGGCTTTGCATGTGCTGCTCCTTTTCTTGAACCCATACTCATAGGGCTAACACTTGCCTCTTGAGGAAAGGAGCATATCATCTTCAGTACTGTTTCCTTAGTGCAGCCGTGAAGGTACACAGTAGGAAAGTTACTGTTTAATGATAGAATAATGCCACCTTTTGGTGTGAGGAGTTGGTCATTGTAGGGGTTGACATTTCAACTGTGAAAAATGTATAAGATTTGGGCATATTAGTATATGAGTGGGAAGACCCTTTGAGTGAACTAAACAGATAGCTAAAGCATGGAGAGTGGGTTGTGATTAAGGAGTTCTCCAGTTTGGCTGAAGAAACAAGGAGGAGTGCAAAATAGTACTTGATTGGAAGGCTAGAGCCAGATTTTAGTAATTATTAAATAAGGATACAGTTCTGAAATTTATTCTCTAGATAGTTCAAGAGATTTAAGTAGAGAAATCTTCAATTTATTAAAAGTTCCAAAAATAACATTGTTGAAGTTCTACCCCTAAATATTAATCCAGCATCAATGTGTACATTAAATAATGAAGTATACCCAAAACATTAAGAAAAGTTACCCTTTAGCCACATGCGTTCAGTTAGGCTTGGAAGTGGTGATATAATTTGGTTGTGTCCCCACCCAAATCTCATGTTGAATTGTAATTCCCAGTGTTGGAGGAGGGACCTGGTGGGAGATGTCTGGATCATTGGGGCAGATTTCCCTCATGCTGTTCTCATGATAGAGAGTGAGCTCTCATGAGATCTGGTGGTTTTAAAAGTGTGTGGCACTTCCCCCCTTGCTCCTGCTCTCTTTCTCATGCTCCATCATGTGAGAATGTGCTTGCTTCCCCTTCACCCTCCACCATGATTGTAAGCTTCCTGAAGCCTCCCAGTCATGCTTCCAGTTAAGCCTGCAAAACTAAGAGTCATTTAAACTTCTTTTCTTCATAAATTATGCAGTCTCAGGTAGTTCTTTATAGCAGTGTGAGAACAGACTAATACAAGTGGACATCTACTAAACTTTCTGCCAGTAATCTTCTTCCTTGGAAACTGACTTAGGCAATCTACAAGGTTACCAGACTGGATTCTGGCTGAAATTTTTTTTCATGATGACCTTATGACTCTAGCCATAGAAACTGACTTCAGGGTTGCTTGGCCCTTCACTGACCAGTACTAGAGTTAAATTCCTGGAATTTGGCTATGTCTAAGAGATTCTAGCTTCTGTCTGGATGTATCTCCTGAATAGAAATGCAACACCTGGAAACAATTGGTTATCATGTCTCCTGCTGTATACAGACAATGTAGCAGAACAGTCCAAAGAACGACAAAAAAAAAAAAAAAAAAAAAAACCAACAACAACAAGCAACAAAAATGTAAGCAGGCACCCAAAGAGAAAAAAGAAGAAAGATGCAGAGAAGACCCTGACTGCCTTCCAGGGCCTGGCTCCACTGCCCATCTGAAGGCAGCTATAGTACTGTCAGTGGGGTCTGTGAGACTCCTATATCCTTATAAAACACCCTTCACATACATATACATTGAATTTTCCTAAAGCTAAAATGGGCTGATTTATTTTACCTACCAGAAAGGAGTTTTAACAAATCCGCAACTACAACAATGAAGATCACTACTACTAAGTTTCTTTTATTATAATCATGTCAAGAAAAATAAAATCCAATAATTATAAACCATTGGTGTCAACATATAAAAATTTCTTATATTAATTGCTTCCAAGATTTTTTAAATACTAAAAATTTTAAGATGTAAAATACTACATTTGATTTATTATTTCATTAAGATTCTAAGCAAACTAATAAAGGTTAAAATTTTAGTGAATAACCTACTTTGATAAAAGTGACAATGTATTTATTAAAATTATAATTAGGTTTTACTGAATGATTTAAGATGTTATTTTTCTCCATATCACTGAGCCAGGAGCATTTAATGTTAAAAATAGACTTGGCAATATTTGGCAAAATGTAAAAATGTAAAGTTAATTAGATTTCAAACTCAATTACAGTGACATCATAAATACTGATTTATTGTAATTCAGCATCTTGTATCCAGAAATTAGAGTAGGTAGACCTCTGGTAAATCTATCAGAATATTTCAGACTTTAATAGAAGACATTAAAACATTCTACTCATTTAAACAGCTATTCATTATATACTCATTACATGTAAGCAGCTACTCATTCTGTGCATATACTCATGTCTAAAACAGTGGCTCTCACACTTGGCTATATGTGAGTCACCTGTGACACATCATGAGTTTTTATTTTTCACCACTGGAAAATCTAACTCAGGTGATCTGGATCTATGACTAGTGTCAAAGTCAAATAAAACTAGAGATGAATCTCTAAATTTAAAATGTTTTATTTGGGAAGCAAGACTTATAATTTGGGGCATACACACAGACTGGGTGGTCCATGGTATGTCTGTAAAACAAAGAGGTTAGAGGTTTTATAAAAAAACAAAAACAAAAACGAGAAATGTTGCATATTATTTTGTAGGAAAGTTTATTGGCACTAGTAAAGTTTGGGGGAGCTGGCAACTTCTGATTGGTGAGTGACAGCCTTGGGTAAAACTAGTCTTAGAGTCACAGCAGGTTGTTTCAGTAATTAGAAAAACCAATTTCAGGTTACAGAAGGCAGTTTCAGCAACCAGGCTTGCATAGAATTGCATTCTTTGATCAATGTTATGTGTTCTGAATGCTTTTTCCCCCTGGCCAATTGACTGTTTTAGTTGGATATGATAAAAATGACCCAATTCATGTGACCAACTTTTATACCAGGCATCTGTATGTCTGAAGAAGTGACACTGATACACAGCCCAACTTAGGGAATCACTCCCTACCTTATAGAATCCTTTGCCTTGATCCAATAATTTTGTATATATAAAAGCATTAGGTGTAAAAGGAAATGATTAGCAGTTGATTCTATTTAGATTTATTAAATATAAAGCAAAACGGGTACATGACCTCTGTCTTTTTTATCCCAGGACATCTAAAGGAAATATGTTTTAAAGCTAGAAAAGTATGATAAAATAAATGAGAGAGGGTTAGAGATAAAACCTCCACAGAAGTTGCAAATGAGTTTTGAATGTTCTTATTGTGTTGGGTTCTTTGAAACATAATTTATAATGGAAAAATAATCTCAGTGATATTTTTAATGAGAACTATTTCTTACCTTTTAAAAATGTTTGATTTTTATAGATACATAATAGTTGTACATATTTATAGTGTACATGTCATATTTTGATACAAGAACACAATGTATAATTATCAAAGCAGGGTAATTGGTATATCCATCACCTCAAACATTTATCATTTCTTTGTGTTGGGAATATTCCAAATCCACTTCTCTAGTTATTTTTAAATATACGATATTTTCACTATTGTGCTACTGAACTCAGTATCTTATTCCTTCTATCTAACAGTATTTTTGTAGCCATGAACCAATCTCTCTTTATCATCCCTCCCCAATACCCTTCCCAGCCTCCAGTGACTACTCTCTACCTCCATTAGATCACTTTTTTAACTTCCATATATGAGCAACAACATGCAATATTTTTCTTCCTGTCCCTGGTTTATTTAACACAATGACCTCCATTACCATCCATGTTGTTGCAAGTGACAGGATGTCATTCATTTTTATGGATGAATAATATTCTATTGTGTATGTGTGCCATATTTTCTTCATCCATTCATCTGTTGATGGGCACTTATGTTGATTCTTTATCTTGGCTATTGTGAATAGTGCTGCAATAAACATAGGAGTGCAGGTATCTGTTTGATATACTGATTTTCTTTCTTTTGAATATATACCCAGCAGTGGGATTGCTGGATCATATGGTAGTTCTGTTTTTTATTTTTTTCCATGCTGAAACTCCATACTGATTTCCATAGTGGCTGTACTAACTTACATTCTCACCAACAGTGTATCAGCATTCCTTTCTCTGCATCCTCGCCAGCATTCATTGTTTTTTGTCTTTTCAATGAAAGCCATTTTAACTGGGGTAACTCATTGTGGTTTTGATTGCATTTCCATGATAATTAGTGATGTTGAGCATTTTTTCAGATATCTGTTGACCATTCATATGTCTTCCCTTGAGAAGTGACTATTCAGATCTCTTGCCCATTTTTAAATCCAGTTATTTGGTTCTTGCTATTGAGTTATTAGAGATCCTTATATATTCTGGTTATTAATCTTTTGTCATTGGAATAGTTTACAAATATTTTCTCCCATTCCGTGGGTTGTCTCTTCATTTTGTTGACTGTTTCCTTTGCTGTGTAGTTTTTTAGCTGTATATGATCCCATTTGTCCACTTCTGCTTTCATTGCCTGTGCTTTTGAGCTCTTACTCAAGAAATCTTTGCCTCAATTAATTTCCTCAACGCTTTCTTCTAGTAGTTTTACGGCTTCAGGTCTTAGATTTAAGTCTTTAATCTATTTTGATTTGATTTTTGTATATGTGGAGAGATAGGGATCTAGTTTCATTCTTTTGCATATGGATATCCAGTTTTTCTAGCATCATTTGCTGAAAAGACTGTCTTTTCCACGACGTATGTTCTTTGCACCTTTTTTTGAAAATGAATTGACTGTAAATGCAAGGATTTATTTCTGGGTTCTCTATTCTGTTCCATTGGCCTACATGTCTGATTTTATGCCAATACTATGCTGTTTTGGTTACTATAGCTCTGAAATATAATTTGAAGCCAACTAATGGGATGCCTCCAGCTTTGTTCTTTTTGCTCAGGATAGCTTTGTCTATTCTGGGCCTTTTGTGATTTCATATAAATTGTAGGATTGTATTTCCTATTTCTGTGAAGTATATCATTGATATTTTGATAGGAATGGCACTGAATCTGTAGATTGCTTTGTGTAGTATGGATATTTTAACAATATTGATTCTTCTAATGCATGAACATGGAATATGTTTTCATATGTTTATGTCTTTTTCAATTTCTTGAATCAGAGTTTTATAGTTTTCATTGTAAAGACCTTTCACTTCTTTAAGTAGATTTCTATGGGTTTTTTTGTAGCTATGGTAAATAGAATTGCTTTCTCTCTTTTTTTAGCTTGTTTGCTGTTGGCATATAGAAATGCTACTGATTTTTTGTGAATTGATTTTCTATCCTGTAACTTTACTGCATTTGTTTATTAGTTCAAATAGTTTTTTAGTGAAGGTTTTAGGCTTTTTTAACTATAAGATAATATCCAAGTAAGAATAAGTCGATTTCTTTCTTTCTATTTAACTGCCATTTCTTTTTCTTGCCTAATTGCTCTAAGACTTACATTACAATGTTGAATAAAAGTGGTAAAAGTGGAAATCTTTGTCTTGTTCCACACCTTAGTGGAAAGGCTTTCAGTGTTTCCCCATTCAGTATAATACTAGTTACAGGTTTGTCACATACAGCCTTTTTTGTGTTGAGGTATTTGCCTTCTATACCCACTTTGTTGAGAGTTTTATTTTTTTATCATGAAAGAATGTTAAATTTTATTGAATACTTTTTTGGTGTCTATTGAAATCATTTTTTCCTTCATTCTGTTGATGTGATGTATTACATTTACTGATTTGCACATATTGAACCATCCTTGCTTTTCTGGAATGAATCCCACTTGATTATGATGAATAATCTATAATGTGTTGTTGAATTCAGTTTGCGAGTATTTTATTGACAGTTTTCCCATCTATGTTCATCAGAGATATTGGCATTTGGTTTTGTTTTTTCATTGTTGTGTATCTTTGTCTGTTTTTGATATCTGGGTAATGCTGGCCTTATAAAATGAATTTGGATGTATTTTCTTCTCTGTAATTTTTTGAAATAGTTTGAGTAGGATTGATATTAGTTCTTCTTGAAGTGTTTAGTGGAATTTAGCAGGAAAGCCATAAGGTTCTGGGATTTTCTTTGATGGAACACTTTTTATTACTGTGTCTATCTTATTACTTGTTATTGGCCTATTTAGGTGGTCTATCTCTTCATGATTCAATCTCAGTAGGTATATATGTCTAGGAACTTATCCATTTCTTTCAGGTTTTCCAATTCATTTGCATACAGTTGCTCATAATACCTTCTAATGATCTTTTGAATTTTTGTGGTATTGGTTGTAATGTCTCCTTTTTCATCTCTTCTTTTATTTATCTTACCTTTTAAAGTAGAATATTTCTAAATGCTAGGAAGAAATTAAAAAAAATTTCTCAATAGCTCTATGAGCACCTCTTTGAATCCTTATAAATACTTTTGACTTTGTCCTTGAGATTAATACTACCAGCAGAAGAAGAGGCTAAGTCTGATAAATTAATGTAAAGGAAGATATGATAATCTGAAAAATAAAAAAGAAATATTTATCAGGAAACCAACAACAGAATTCAGCATCTCACATAAAAATAAAGTAACAGTTAAACATCTACTCATAACTCATGAAACTAGCTTATAAAATAGTGAGTTAATTCTTACCACCATAAGAATTTCACTGATCCTTTAATAATTTCAGCTGTAAAACTAACAATACGCAGTCAACAACAAAATAGGATAAATATCACAAATATCTATATGAAGCAAAATATATAATTATAACAGTAAGAAGTGATATGTAATTGAATAGAAAATATTGAATAGAAAATAGTGTGTGTGGGGTGTGCGAGTTTGCTTTTGATACAGCATAAATTAAGAAACACAGAGAGAAGAGATGTGACAGGTAAGATGTGGGGAAGAGAGGCAGGTCATAAAGGGCCTCTAAGATAGAAACCTGTACAATACAACTAGCATCTTGTGAGAAGGCGCTTAGGAGGGAAATAACTGAGAATAGACTGATGTGGCTAAAGCTTATGGAGCAAGAGTGAGGCAGCTTAAGATAAATCTTGAGTGAGAGATGGGGCCAGAACATGCAAGATTTGACAGGTTGTGTACAGACAAAGAAATATCTTTATGCTATCACCATTCACTTAATAATCCATTGAATATTCTGACCTTAAAGTTTCTTGACTCTTTACCTCTTGTGATCTGAAACATCCTACATCTACTACCTCTTAAACTTCCAGTTCATTTATTAAAACACTTTCCACCTCAGAATTTTTTTAATCTAAATAAGACCTTTAGATTGATTCCAGCACTTTACTCACCATCCATTAGTCCCTTCTACACACTCTTCTTTCTCAGTTTTGATGGTGTAGTACATCATAATCACTCTTGCAAATTTGCTTGTATTCGTTGTCTCAATTTCTCTCTAGCATACATATGCTCCAACCCTGGATGAATTCAATCATCTACTCTTTCTACGTATGTGGACTTTAGCAGCTGAAAATTGCTGGAAAAAAAATCCACACATCTGGGTTGATTGTTTTCACTACATATTAATGTTTAGAAACCTTAAACTGTATTCAGCATTTCCAACGCGTCCTAAGGTTTTCATTAGATTACTGTATCATGCCATTGTTCTTCTAAAATATGTCATATTCTTTTCCATGATGTTCCACATCCAGGTGATAATTTACTTTTTAATTCACTAAGAAAATGGCAGGCAACAGTAAAGAATACTCTCATTTTCACACCATGAAATACACAAACATACCTGTATCTTTGTCTTCTTCTTCCCCCCATTAAGAAATATACATTGTTCCTCTTATTAAACTCCAACCTATTTACACCTTTTAAATCTAGAAATAAAACATTATTTTGAAAACAAAACAATGGGTAACAAATTACGTTAAAAATCACCCATGTTCCCCCCAAGGTGGAATTATAACAAATCTCATAGATAATAAAGAAGGTAGAAAGGCTAACTGAATCTTTCTTTTCAATGAACAGTATTGAATAGAATGCATGTGTAACAAACCCCAATAAACCTCTGGATGCCAAGATGGAATTTTTGCTGAGAGAAAGTAATTTTGGATGGATCGCACCTGTGGCCTTTTCATATCCCTTACTGAGGCACATATAACACCTGGTATTTAAGTAGATTCATACATTCATTTACTGAGCCAATAACATGCCTGGCACTTTTCTAGCCACAAAGAATTCAGCAACGAATAAAATAAACAGAGCTCCTCATGATGCTTGTGTTCTAGTTGGGGGATACATAAAATAGCAAGTAAACAAAAAATATAATATTTCAGGTAAATAAATAGAATAGATTGGGAGTAGGGAGTATCGATAGCCCATTTGAGACTTTGGAGTGTCAAGGGAAGAAGGACTTAGCAGTAACAAATGTAACAAAAAGCAATGTCATGCCTTCTTTGCAAAAATCAGGCTTGAGTACATTAGAGTGAAGGAGAAAAAGTGAAGAGCAGACAGCTTTGAAATAGCTGTTATACAAATTTCCATGAGGAAACATACTGTACAATACTTAATGACTTAGAAAGACTTCCTGTTAGCCTAGAGTCCAATTACTGAGATGATTAGGCTGGGCACAGTGGCTCATGCCTGTAATCCCAGCACTTTGGGAGGCTGAGGTGGGTGGAATGCTTGAGTCCAGGAGTTCGAGACCAGCCTAGCCAAAAAGGTGAAACCCCATCTCTACTAAAAATACAAAAATTAGCCGGGGATGGTGGTCCACATCTATAATGCCAGCTACTTGGGAGGTGGAGGCAAGAGAATCACTTGAACCAGGAGACAGGGGTTGCAGTGAGCAGAAATAGCACCACTGCACTCCAGCCTGGGCGACAGAGTCAGACTCTGTCTCAAACAAACAAACGAAAAATTACTGAGATGATTAGAGTCAACAATACTGAAGCACTCTCCTTGACTCACCCCACTCAGTATATGCCCTAAAGATCCTATCTTTTTAAGAATATTAGTAACTAGGAAAAAAAACTCATGTGACCTATGAAATGATATTGACATGCCTCCCCTTCCCAGTGGAGAAAGGGAACATAAAATATTATAGAGAAGATTATACACTAGAAAACTACACATGAAGGAGATTCAATTACCATTCATTCAGCAAATAGTTAACTTGCCCTTACTATGTGCTACAAACTATGATAGATTTTAGGAATATAGCAGTGAACAAAACAAAGACCTTACATTCTATGGGTTGTAACAACTAACAAATAAAGAAATTTATATATAATAAAAGCTGCTGAGAGTTGAATCTCAAGAATTGGCCATCCAGTCTGGTAACATGGAAGTCATCAGTAATTTTGACAAGAGCCATTTTGGTGGGGTGATGGGAAAGGGGGCTTAATTAGATTGGATTCAAGAGAGAAAGGCAGGTGAGAAATCAGAGATAATGAGAATAGAGAACTTCTTTGGAAAGTTTGGGGCTGCAAGAGGAGGAGAATATAGAAACAAGAAACTGATTCCAGAGGATAAAGAGGAGGAATGATTGCAAGAACACATCCTGGAGTAGGCAAGAGTGGATGGCATTGATTGCACCAAGTGGAGGGACTGCTTAGGAAAAGAGCACAAAGGGTATCTTCATAGTAACAGAAGATGATGATTTCATGGGGGTATAAATAGGTAAAAAATGTATCCGATTGTACATTTTAAACAAGTGCAATTTGTCAATCATATTTTAATAACGCCTTAAAATAAAAAAAGAAAAAGAAAACAAGTAGTAGAATGAAGAAACAAATTCAATGCTAATTCTCTGACTTAGGAATAAAAATTAAACCACAAGCAATGAGAAAAAAGAGGCAAACCACAAATACAGTGAATTAGCAAAGAAAATATAGAAATAAATATAATTTAACCTCATTTTCTTTTCAGAGCTTTTGGTATTTTCTTTCTTCCGGAGATATTATTTTCCTAGATCTTCCCACATCTGTGTTGCTGGTTCCTCCTCATCTTTCAGGTCTCAGCTTAAATGTCAATTTTTCAAAATATCCTTTTCTGACCACTCTAAAAAAATTCCTTCTACCATTTATTCTCTCTCCTATCACACTGCTATATTACCTTTATGGCACTTACTCTACCTGAAATCACTTTGCTGCTTTTTCCCATGTCTTTCCTCACTAACATTGAAGACCCAAAATAGAAGAAACTTCATCCATTTTATTCACCAATATATACTAAATATTGGAACAGTACCTAGAAACTTGCTATGCCCTCAGTAGATTTTCATTGAAAAAACAAATGAGCAAAAAAGGGAGGAAATTGAAATAATTATAAAATAACAAATTATTCTTTTTTGTTTTTTTCTTTTTTGAGGTGGAGCCTCTCTCTGTCACCTAAGCTGGAGTGCAGTGGTGTGATCTCGGCTCACTGCAACCTCCGCCTCCCAAGTTCAAGTGATTCTCCTGCCTCAGCCTCCCAAGTAGCAGGGATTACAGGCATGCACCGTCATGCCTGGCTAGTTTTTGTATTTTTAGTAGAGACGAGGTTTAGCATATTGGCCGGGCTGGTCTTGAACTCCTGACCTCAAGTGATCTGCCTGCCTCAGCCTCCCAAAGTACTGTGATTATAGGCACAAATTATTCTTATAAATGAAAAAACGGATTCAAAAGCAATTTTTCTAAGAAAAATAAATTACCAAAACTTACGTAAGAAGTGAAAAAAAATGTGTAACCAGACCATTTATTTTTATTTATTTACTTATTTTTTTTATTTTTTTAAGAGATGGAGTCCCACTCCATCACCCAGAGCTGGAGTACAGTGGCGTGATCTCGGCTCACTGCAAGCTCCATCTCCCCGGTTCAAGCAATTCTCCTGCCTCAGCCTCCTGAGTAGCTGGGACTACAGGCACACCACCATTCCCGGCTAATTTTTTGTATTTTAGTAGAGACAGGGTTTCACCGTGTTGCCCAGGTTGGTCTCGAACTCCTGAGCTTAGGCAATCCACCTGCCTCAACCTTCCAAAGTATTTATTTGTTTTTTAAACTTTTATTTTAGGTTCGGGGTACATGTGCAGGTTTGTCATATAGGTAAATTCATGTCATGGGGGTTTGTTGTACAGGTTATTTTGTCACCCACGTAGTAAGCATAGTACCCAAGTTATTTTTAACAGATCAGTTATTGGTAAAGAAGATCAAAGTGTCAAGTTGTCCTTATTCCTGTTCCTGGAAAAGAAGAATCCTTAGTGGAAATATGTCAACTCTTTTCAAATAAGATATATTTAATTTCAATTTGTCATTATTTTGAATGAGTGAAAACATTTAAGCAAATTAAATCAATAGAATAACCTGTATTGAACACAGAGCCATATAATAATGCCAATGACCTGGAATTTGTTAACTATGAATAATATTTTGAGATGTCCTCCTTTAAATTCACGATATAATTGAAGTAATGTCACATGAACTTAAGGAAGAAAAGTTCTGAATGAGCTAATTGAGCTTCCTTTTTCCTTGGTGCAGGAATAAGATTCCTGTGTAATAAAATAATGGCTTGTAAAAATTTTAAAACTCGATTTGCCTCACTCTTAAAATTGTTTTAACGTGGATATTTATCCAATATGCATATTAACTATCTTTTTAATGATAATTTAAATCATAACACTTCTTTTGCTCATACCTGCTTGTTTCTAACTAGTTTGATTTGATATTATGGTTAGAGTGAGATTTATATGTGACTAGTAAATATGTAGTACTTTGATACTTAGTGAATAAGGTGTATTAATATTGAAAATAAACATCCAACAAATTCTGAATATGTTTCTTAATGTTCCTCTTTTTACTATTATTAATATGAATCTTCTGAATCTCTGAGAAAATAAGATTATATCAATGTGCTACAGCCTGGAACATCACCTGATATAGTAGAAAAGGTCGCCGGGTGCGGTGGCTCATGCCTGTTGAGGCAGGCAGATCACGAGGTCAGGAGTTTAAGACTAGCCTGACCAATATGGTGAAACCACGTCTCTACTAAAAACACAGAAAAAAAAAAAAAATTAGCAAGGCTTGGTGGCATGTGCTTGTAGTCCCAGCTGCTTGGGAGGCTGAGGCAGGAGAATCACTTGAACCCAGGGGGCGGAGGTTGCAGTAAGCTGAGATCACACCACTGCACTTCAGCCTGGGTGACAGAGTGAGACTCCATCTCAAAAAAAAAAAAAAAAAAAAAAAAGTGCAGTAAAAGTCTTAACTGAGAAACATCAGGAAATGCCAGAAAACTCTTAAGTATCCTTTCATATTGAGGAAAAAAATACTGAAAAAGAAAATGGATGCAAATGGCACTTAAATGTTGTATCTTTAAAAGTGGGAACATTCATAGATTCACCAAAACAGGACTAAAATTTTGTAAAACTCATGCTGAAATAAAGAATAGTTATAATCATCAAGAGACATAATTAAAAGCACATATTAAATAAGTTCTACCTTTAAATATTTTAAAGTTTCTGAAACAATCTTTTATCAATGTATTGATGAAATGAATTTTAAAACTGAGAATAAACCATCATAATTTAAACACTATGATTAGTTAAAAATACTAAAGCAATTTCAGAGTAAAATGCTTAATATCACTTCAAAAAATAATAATGATATGTTTTTCATTGTTATCTAGGGTTGTGGACCACTTGTCACAACACATATTCTATTAAAATGAGAAAATAACTTTTATGAAAACTTACAAAGCAAGGGATTATTGTTTTAATCAATTATCAATTATGGCAGCACTATTAATTTAACAAACCATACCATAATCTATTATTTCTTCATCATATATTAAAATCTCTTATAGAACTGAATCTATTTCCAAATTTTATTTGACATAAATATATATTTTATTTACTTACTTTAAATGTAAAATTCCTTGTAATTTAATGATTTGGTAGTGCTAGAATTAATGTAATTAATGTAACATCTGAATTAAAGCAAAATCTATACTTATTTATTGATAAAAATAGTATTGATAGCTGTGCTTGGTGGCTTATGCCTGTAATCAAGCACTTTGGGAGGACGAGGTGGGAGGATCGCTTGAGGCCAGGAGTTCAAGACCAGCCTGGGCAACACAGCAAGACCCTGTCTCTACAAAAATAAAAATAAAAAAATCAGTGGGGCATGGTGGCTCATACCTATAGTCCTTGCTACTCAGGAGGCTGAGGTGGGAGGATTGCTTGAGCCCAGGTGTTCAAGGCTGCAGTGAGCATGATTGCACCACTGCACTCCAATAGCAGAGTGATACCTTGTCTCTTCACACACACACACACACACACAAATATTCCTAAAACGAAAAGTTGTGTCAATTAGAAATATTTATTTGAAAATGTCACTGAATTCTATACAGAGAGAACTGGTGTCATCAGTGCATGCTAGTAGAAATGTCTGGAACTTTGTCCAAAATTCTAGAAAAATTTCAGATATTTTACTTTGGCACTACAAGCCAAAATATTTAATTGTTTCTGAATGATTCAATAGGAAACTGAAATCAAACAAAGCACCACAAATCATTTCTCAACAATTATTTATTCATTTTCACAATCCAATAAACATTATATAAAATAATGACAAAAGAAAGACGCAGACATCTAAATAATGAAAATTGAAGGATTATTTGGATGTTGGTGAGCAGGCTGAGGAGCGAAAGCTGAAAATGCAGCTTGGAAGTCTTTCAAGCTCTGTGAATTCACGTCAATACTAATTTGCAATAGGAGCAGTAAACATCTAAAAAACGAATTCTAACACCACATGTTCTCACTCATAGGTGGGAATTGAAAAATGAGAACACTTGGACATGGGGTGGGGAACATCACACACGGGGGCCTGTTGTGGGGTGGGGAGAGCGGGGAGGGATAGCATTAGGAGAAATACCTAATGTAAATGATGAGTTAATGGGTGCAGCACACCAACATGGTACATGTATACATATGTAACAAACCTGCACTTTGTGCACATGTACCCTAGAACTTAAAGTATAATAAAATAAATAAATAAGACATTTAGCTTTAACACATGATACACTAAAAGCAATGTCCAAAAGTCCTTTATTATTAAGTATATAGTTATCAAAATGAAAGATTAATTCAATAAAAATGCACATATAAAACAAAATTATGAGAAGTAAAAGCTATTATTGACAGAAATACATGTGATATACTCTAGAACAGAATTAATCAATTTTAAGAGAAAAACATCAGACGAATTTTGTGAAAATACATTTGTTAACAAAAATTAAAAATGGAATTAACTTTAAAAATTTGCCAAATTGGTGAATCTTAAAATGTCGTAAAATAAAATTCATGGATTGAAAGTGAGCAACACTTAACATAAGTAAGCCAGCTAACAAAATATTGCTACTGGATGGAAAGCCTTGACTGCAAGTTGGGTTCTTGGCTGGCTGAACAAATAATTAAAACCCACAACCAAAGCAATAAAAGAAGGAATCAACGAAAGCACAGATTTATTGAAAAGAAAGTACACTTCACAGAGCGGGAGCAGGCTCAAACAAGCAGCTCAAGAGCCCCAATTGCAATGTTCTTTAGGGTTTTCATTAAGCTAAAAGAATTTGGTAACACCACTAGGTACACTTTAGAGGTCTCCAATTGGTTACACCCTATGCAAATGAAGGATTGATCCCCGACTAATCAGAGGCTGAAGTGAAGGTTCGGCCTGGGACTAATTAGAGGCATTTGTTGTTTGTGACAAAGGGGAAAGGGGGTTTTGTAGAAGAAGGGGGCCTCTGGCCCCTTATCACTTGGGCATGAAGAGGTGGGGTTTTCCTTTTGGTCCAATTCCAAGAAGTCAGCAGTGGGTTGGCCTTAGGCTCCCTGTCTCCAGACTCTATTCTCCTGCCTCAATATGACATTTCAGTAAAAAGCAGAGCCCTCTCCTTAGTAGATCGATGGCGTTCCTCATTGCAAGGAACTGCCACCATCTGGAGAATAGGGCAGATGAATGTCTGGTTGAGCAGAAGTGGAAGCTCAGGGTAGCTGAATGGAAGGATTTTTTTTTTTTCTTCCGAGTATGTGCTTCCCTCTTGAACCTTGTGCCAAGCAGGCAATCAGAAAGACAACCTTCTATCAGCTTACCTAAACTTGTTCAGAATATGTACAGTTCTTTATTTTCCATGGAAGAAAAGTATTGTAGACATTGATTAAGGGTGATTACCTCCTCCCCTTTATGAATGCCAACCTGAATTGAGAGGTGGGATGTGGCCAGAGGAAGGTTTACCCTTGATGTTAATGCTTCAGGGGGCTTTCCTTGTATGGTTCCTTCCAAGGCAGTAGAAACTAAATTTTAATTCATGGTTTTGTATTTTTTTTCTTAAAAATTATCCCTCCCCTCAACATTTGTATAATTTTTAGTTCCAACAAAATTGGAATCCTCCCTGAGGAATGGGGAATTCCCAGAACTCCAAAAAGAGATTTCGCATTTGATGATGACGCACCTATTACTGCAGACTTCTTCAGAAATGAAATAATTCCAGGGTAGGTACAGGTTATGATTGGAGGATTTTTAAAATCTAGACTAGTTTGTGTGTTTTTAGATAATTCTGATAAGTCCCTTAAATAATGGAATCCCTGTTTTAATTGGCATTAAAAATCACTTAATAGTTGTCTAAATATAGAATGACTCTAAAAATTTGCAAAAAATTAAGAAACAAAGCAAAACTTTCTAATTCTTCATATTTGGTCATGGTATAAGAAAACACACCTGCTGGGGAAAAAGTAAAGGCTCTACAGTCACCAGGTCAATGTAGTTTTTATAAATAAAATAGACTAATTTATTAGAGAACTGTATCTCAAAAGTCTTTTCTCCTTGGAAACAGCTCCTGCCAAATTCATTTTAAAAGGACATTATTCAATTGAGTTTTAAGCCCTTTAGTTAATGATATTGAGTTAAAAATAGATGTCACATTTTTGGCAAGAAAAAAGAAAAATACTCATAAGTCTATGCATAAAAACATCTAAATGATTAATTGAAAATTTATTTTCCCAAATTTAAACTCTTTCTGTCCTTCAGAAAGTATTTAAACAAGAAAAATGGAAATTTAAGTTCTCATCCATTTTTTCTGTAAAAAGGTAAATAAATTTTAAACCTAAATTTGTATCTTTAAAGACTGAAAACTTCTGAAATAAGTATTTTAAACCAGGAATTACAAAGCTTTACTCTTACATGCTAAATAATTACATTTATAATCCAAGTTCATCATAACCTTAATCAAGGTAAACCATTGGATAAATTGTATCGTTTTATGTATTTGGGGTATTAAAAAGCTCTATGTCTTCTCTCAGCTGTTTCAGTGTAAAAATAAATGCATGCATGGTATGTTAGTCAGGGCTGGCTTCATGGGCATGCAACTCTTATAATCACACTGGGACTCATGCTCACAAGGGCCCTTGGTTTAGAGCCCTGTGGTCACCATCTTGAAATTCTTAATGATTTAGGAACAAGGGATTCTGTATTTTCATTTTGAACTGGGCTCTACAAATTATGTAGCTGGTCTTGATTTTAGTATGTGCCAAAACTTTTTTTTTCATTAAAAAAGCCTAAATTAAATGAAACATAAATATTTGATGTTATCTATGATACTATTTGAATTTATGTAAATTTAATATATATGCTCAACTAAAATGATTAACAATTTACATAAGCAGTGTCATTCTAAATTACTTCTCATCAATCTTAGACTATATTACAAATTATGTAGCACTAAAAAATTACTACAATTAGAATATCTGGGTACCATATCATATGCCAATGGTTGACTGAAAACTAATGTTTGTTTTATAAATTAGAACACTGCATGAACTTCATTCCTAAAAGTTACTTTTTTTTTGAGAACTAACAAAATTCAACGTCATTTCTTGGACTTATGAATAACAACCTCACCTGTTTTTGTTCATATAGTAGTAACACTTATGATTAAAAAGCTAATGATTAAAGTAAATTATAATTTTTCAGAAATAATGAATTTTCCTTATATAATCAATAATACAATTGAATTATTTCTTTCACACATACAAACCTTCATTATCTTTTGTCCAGCTCACTTCAACAAAAACTTCATTGGAATTTGTTTGGAATTGCATTGATTTTATTTTTAAATTTGTGATGACTAGTTATTTTCACATTTTTCAACAAGGAAATGACTTACCTTAAATTTTCAGAGCTGTTCTTACAATTTTTAAAGAAATGTGAATAGTTCCTTCACATATTTGAAGAATCTTCCTGGGTACCTACATTCTTCGATATTTTAAGATGATTATCACTCATAAACAGGATTATTTTTGCATTGTCATATCCAATTTATTATTGTCACTATTTACCTAATATTAGGTCCATTGTTAAATCCAACATATTTTGTTAGAGTTTAATTGGATTGTCTAGGTAGGTATTCATGTAATTTGTAATTATTTTTTTTCTTATCTCGGCTGGAAGATTTTGAGTTTTATTGCAAACCATACTGTACAGACCCAGGACGCAGTGCCATCCTCAAGCATTTTGTGATCCCCAGGCCTCCTCCTCTCCGGCGGCCTTTGGTCAGCCCGGTCCCAACCCGCACCCACACTCCTCCTTGGTTTGTGGATAGATTCCTTCTCCAATACATGGTTAAGACCAGGTTTACTCAGTTCCCATGGCAACTTAGAGGGGCCATTTCCAGCCTTAGCCCTGAAATGCCATCATTCTGTGTTCATTCTAATACTTCACACCTCGGAAAATTATTTTGATTTTCTTTACTCTGACTCCTAGTGAATGTCAACATCTTTTCATATGTTCTTGATCAATCTGATTTACCTTGCTAAAAATTTCCTATCAGTATACCTGTCCACGTTGTATTGGGTTTTATGTCATTTACCTATCAATGTAAGAGCTTTTTGTCTATTATAGACACAAACCATTAATCTCTCTTTTGTGTTTTAGCAATTTATTTCCACTTTTTCTAACCATTATTTACATTTTTTGCATTGTCAAAAATGTCTATATTTCTTTAACTCTTACGATTCCAATCTTTGTTTTAAAGTTTTTTACAGACCTTAGATTGAGGTGTCAGGTTTTATTTGATATTCTATGTTTATATATGTATCTTGACTAATATGTTAAAACTTTTTATTTAGTTTGTTGCTCTTTAGTTTCCACAGATGAGTTCAAATTCCTTTATTTTTAATGTTTTCCTTAATAACGAAGGCATTTAAAGCTTGCAAGTTCCACTGAAAAGTTCTCTGTGTTCCAAATAATTTAGTGTGTTCTTCTTTTCACTCTTTCCTAAATAGTTTTTAATTTTTTAAATTTTATCTTTGATATAAGGGTGATCTAGGAGCATCTTAATTTTCAAGTGGTTAAGATTTTGTTGATCACCTTCTCTCTTTTTCATATTTATCAACACGGCCTTTTAAAAAAGTGAATATACTTTATGGCCAAGTATATGACGTTTTTGAGCAAATGTTTCATTGATGTATGGAAAAACCCCTCATATCTTTGATTCTAAGAAACATTTTTCTCACGTGTTAACATCTCTAGAATTGGGATGCATCTCTTTACAGCTGTCAGCCCATAGGAGTGGCATTGTAGTTGTGTAAAACCTTCACTTGACATGTTCTGGTAAGATCAAGAAATCAAGAAAGCACCAGTATCAAAATGTCTTAGTGTAGAGGAAAGCCAACATATTGTCTCTAGATAATATAAGGTTGTTTTTCCCTGTCCTGGGTTTCTTTCTCTCTACAAAATCTGTTTGATTTTGGTAGAGATGTATTGAAATCTTCAGTCATAATTATATTTTATTAGGCTTATCAAATTCCTAATGACTTTGCTTTATGTATTTAGCTAGTTGCATGTAGTTTGATATATACATATTTATGAATGTTACCTTTTTCATAAATCTTTGCCTTTTATAATTGGTCTGACCTTACATTTTATCTTTGCTTATCTTTTATTTTCCACCCTTCTTTACTATTTCACCATGTCCCTCATACACAGCTTTTGTTTTCTAATCTTTAAGCTTTAGTGAAAGAAAACAATCCATTTACATTTTATTTAATGTCTGTATCTTAGTTTCTTCATTATCTATTTTAAATCATTATTTCCTTTTTTTCTTATTTTTGTTGTTTTTTTTTTCAGGTTCATCTCATTCTTTCAAAGATTAGTTGTGTGTTTCCATTTCATTCATTGTTAACAACATGTCTGCTCTCAAGAACAAGTATATATGAATCTATCCCTTTTCCCACACAGCTGTATTACCTCAACTTTCTTCCCTATACAAACTAGATGAGACCTCTAGAACACTTCTTCCTTTTGTTCTTTTTTTCTCTGCCTTTTTCAGGTGATGAGACTTTTTCAAATGCTTTTACTTTGCCCTTCTACAGATTTCCTTAAAGTATGCTTTACTTCCTCAAATTATGTTGTTCAGAAATAAATAAAACAAAATGAATTGAGGTCTGTAATGAGTTTGATGACACAATACTAACCCTTGACTGTTTCTCTTTTTTATTTTGAGAAAAAAATTTAGAATACATAAAAGTATATATAAATATAACAACTGCCCATGTACCCATCATTCAAATTATATAAATTAACATTTTTAGTCAAATGCTTCATATCTTTTACTTTGTAATACAAGAAATAAAACATTACACATAAAGCTGAAGTACTCACTGTCGCCTATTAATACATTTCTGTTTTCTTCTACTCCCCCATTTGTGTTCCTTCCTATGATGAGGTGCACACATTGTGGTTAGGAATTCCATTTTTAAATAATGGTGGTCTAAGTTATTGGGACTAATAGCTCTCTAAAAAGCAATCAAGGTAACTAGATTTAAAAAAATTACAATCTTAAAACTACAGGTTAGCCAACAAAAAATGGACTCAATGGAGTGGGGAAGTATATTCCATCTACTATAGTGGAAGGCACTGAAAAGTCACCTGGCAAAAGATGTCCAGTTATAATTCTGTAAAAGGGAAGGAGTAAAGAATTAGAAACATTAATACAATCTACCAAAGAATGAAACAAACTAAAAAGTCTACTTAAAAAACTTGCAAATCACAACTGTAAAATGTGAAGAAATGCAATGCCATGAGAGAGAGCCAACAAAATCAACTTTGGAAAGGAACTGACTCTAAGTGGAATTTCTCTTAATAGAAAAATGTGATAAACATATCAAAACAAATCTGAGAAATAAAGGATCAATATCCATTAGTAACTAAATAGGACCTGTAAAACAAAAATAGGCAGGTCTGAAGTACAAACTGTCAGATATAAAGCAATTTGAAATCTTAGAAATGAATAATGTGGCAATTTCAAATTACAATCTAAATTAATAAACACTACTTCTGCAGTGCTACTTTCAGTAAGTGTGGTCTGCTTCCCCAGATTGCTATATTCTTCTCTGTAAGTCTCATTATACTCAATACTGTGTGCCTCTAGTGTGGTAGCTCTGCCCCAGGGAGGATCTTCCTGGTTCATTTTCCTCCATGGCCCTTTCAAAAGTGAATGTTGAGAGAGAATCAGTGGACTGGAAGGCACTGATGAACTTAGTGGATTAACTTAATTGATTAGCTAAGGGGAAGGAAACTGAAATAAAAATAGTTAAGAGTTGTGGAATATTGGATTAGCCAAATTTCAGTGAAGAAAACAAAAATCCCTCTTAGTTTCTTTGAAAGAAAGCTGGAAATGTTAGAGAACTGCCTCTGAACAACTGACTTCAGGATCACACCATCGAAATCATGGAGTTCAGGAATCTGCTGCTGCTACAATCGCTCTCCTACTGAGAGGTGACAACGTGCTAGCAGCCCTCGTTCACTCTCGGCGCCTCCTCGGCCTCCGTGTCCGCTCTGGCCATGCTTGAGGAGCCCTTCAGCCCGCCGCTGCACTGTGGGAGCCCCTCTCTGGGCTGGCCGGGCCGGAGCCGGCTCCCTCTGCTTGCCGGGAGGTGTGGAGGGAGAGGCGCAGGCAGGAACCGGGGCTGCATGCCGCGCTCGCAGACCAGCGCCAGTTCTGGGTGGGTAAGGCACAGCGGGCCCCACACTCAGAGCAGCCGGCTGGTGCTGCCAGCCCCGGGCAGTGAGGGGCTTAGCACCCGGGCCAGCAGCTGTGGAGGGTGCGCCAGGTCCCTCAGCACTGCCGGCCCGCCCGTGCCGCGCTCAAATTCTCCCAGGCCTCAGCCACCTCCCTGCGGGGCAGGGCTCGGGACCTGCAGCCCACCATGCCTGAGCCCCCCTACCGGTGGGCTCCTGCGTGGCCTGAGCCTCCCAGATGGGTGCTGCCCCCTGCTCTGCCACGCCTGGTCCCATCGACTGCCCAAGGGCTGAGGAGTGCCCACGCCGCAGCGTGCGACTGGCGGGCAGCTCTGCCCAGGGCAGGATCCACTAGGAGAAGCCAGCTGGTCTCCTGAGTCAGGTGGGGATTTGGAGAATTTTAATGTCTAGCTAAAGGTTTGTAAATGCACCAATCAGCGTTCTGTGTCTAGCTCAAGGTGTGTAAAGACACCAATCAGTGCTCTGTGTCTACCTATTCTAGTGGGGACTTGGAGAACTTTTGTGTCTAGCTAAAGGATTGTAAATGCACCAATCAGTACTCTGTCTAGCTCCAGGTTTCTAAACGCACCAATCAGCACCCTGTCAAAACAGAACAATCAGCTCTCCGTAAAATGGGCCAATCAGCTCTCTGTAAAATGGAACAATCATCTCTCTGTACAATGGACCAATCGCCAGGATGTGGGTGGGGCCAGATAAGGGAATAAAAGCAGGCTGCCCCCGCCAGCAGCGGCAACCCAGTTGGGTCCTTTTCCACTGTGTGGTAGCTTTGTTCTTTTGCTCTTCACAATAAATCTTGCTGCTGCTCACCCTTTGGGTCCGCACCACCCTTATGAGCTGTAACACTCACCACGAAGGTCTGCAGCTTCATTCCTGAGGCCAGCGAGACCACGAACCCACTGAAGGGAACAAACAACTCCAGACGCGCCGCCTTTAAGAGCTGTAACACTCACTGTGAAGGTCTGCAGCTTCAATCCTGAAGTCAGCGAGACCACAAACCCACCAGTAAGAAGAAACTCCAGACACATCATCTTTAAGAACTGTAACACTCACCGTGAGGGTCTGCGGCTTCATTCTTGAAGTCAGCGAGACCAAGAACCCAGCAATTCCAGACACACTACCGCAGATTTTTATTCCCATAAAGTTGATGACTAGATAAATGAAAGTAGAAAAAGACCACCACAATCACCTGTGGCTGATCTTATCTTGCTGGAAATAGAAGCAGCAGTAGGAAGTTGACCTACACCTTAATTCTGACCTCCAAATAAATATCACATAACTGCTTGTTACGTTGTAGATCAAATTTTCTCCTAGACTCCTAGCTTCAATGGAGTCTGTGTAATATAGTGTTTAGTCTTCTGAAATCTTTTAAAAAAATTATAAGGGAGGTTTAAGAGAGGCAATTCATTTTAATATAAATTTGGAATCACTTTTTAAAAATATCTATTGGAGTTATAAATTGATGTGTGGAGAATTGCTATCTTAACAATATTGAGTGTTCCAACCCACGAAAATGATGTTAATAACATTTACTTAAGTCTGTAATTTCTCTCAGCAAAATTTATAGTTTTTTTTTTTTAAATAGAATTCTTCCGTTTTTAAAAAATGTTACTTTAAGTTCTGGGATACATGTGCAGAACATGCAGGTTTGTTACATAGGCATATATGTGCCATGGTGGTTTGCTGCAGCCATCAACCTGTCATCTAGGTTTTAAGCCCCGCATGTATTAGGTATTTGTCCTAATGCTCTCCTTCTCCTTGCCCCCCACTCCCTGACAGGCCCTGGTGTGTGATGTTCCCCTCCCTGTGTCCATCTGTTCTCATTGTTGAACTCCCACTTATGAGTGAAAACATGTGGTGTTTGGTTTTCCGTTCCTGTGTTAGTTTGCTGAGAATGTTGGCTTCCAGCTTCATTCATGTCCCTGCAAAGGACATGATCTCATTCTTTTTTTATGAAAAATGGGATCTAATTAAACTAAAGCGCTTCTGCACAGGAAAAGAAACTATCTTCCATGTTTTGTAAAATTTATCTCTAACATGTTTTTGGATGCTGTTGGAAATGAAGTTGTTTTCGAAATTCATTTTCTAATTGTTCATTGCTAATACATAAAATTATAATTTTTATACATTAACATTGTATTCTGACCTCAATAAATTCACTTATTAGTTCTAGTAGACTCTTTAAGCTTTCTATGTATTAATACTTGGTCATGTCATCTACCAATAAAAACGACTTTCTTCTCCCTTTCCAATTTATTGACTGTCATTTCTTTTTCTTGCCTTACTGCACTGGCTAAAACTTCCAGTATAATGTTGAACAGAAATGGCAGAATAGATATCCCTGCCTTGTTCCTTATCTTAGGTAGAAAGCATTGAGGCTTTCAATATTGAGTACAGTGAAAGATGTAGGTTTTTGAAGATGCCCTTAATTAGATTAAGAGAAATGTTTCTTTTATTCTTAGTTTGCTGATAGATTTTTTGAAATCACAAATTAGTGTTGAACTTTACAAAAAGCTTTTCCTGCATTTATTGAAATGATTATATTTTCTTCTTTATTCTAATATGGTGAATTACATTGATTAATTTTTGGATGTCAAACCAACCTTTCACTCCCCAGATAAACCTCATTCCATCATGATGTATAGTAAGTATTCTTTTACATATACTAATTTGTTTTGTTAAAATTTTGTTAAGTATATTTGTGTCTATATTCATGAGGGATATTTGTCTGTAGTTTTTTAATATATTTGGCCTCATGAAATGAGTTTGGAAGTATTTTCTATTTTCTCAAAGAGTTTGTGTACAATTGGTTTTATTTCTTCCTTAAATGCTAGAGTTTACAAGTGAAGCCATTTAGGCATGAATTTTTCTTTTTGGAAAGATTTTTAATTAAAAATGCAATTTCTTGAATTAATAGGGCAATTCAAGTTTTATATTGCTTATTGGGTTAGTTTTGGTAATTTGTGTCTTTCAATGAATTGTTCATTTCATCCAGTGGTAGCTCTGCCCCAGGGAGGATCTTCCTGGTTCATTTTCCTCCATGGCCCTTTCAAAAGTGAATGTTGATCATAATCGTGATCCCCAGTTTATTGAATTTATTGGCATAAAGTTGCCTGCCATATTCTCATATTTTTCTTCCAATGATTATGCTCTGCAGTGAGTGATGTATTCTGTTGCATTACTAAAAGTTCATGGGTGGCAATTTCTGTCTTATCTCTTTATTCTTTACCCATCTAAATGGAAGTTTATCAATTTTATTTTTTTTAAAGACCCAGCTTTTGATTTCATTTTCACTATTATTTTTGTTTTCTATTTTAATTTTTACACTTACCTTTATTATTTCATTTCTTAATTTTTTAAATTTCTATTTCCCTTCTTCTACTTGATTTTCACTACCTTTCCACTCTGGAAGAGGTATTTTGTAGGATGACGGTCAAGTTGTCTTTTTTCGGATACTTCCTCATATTTTGATTCAGATTATGATTTTTGGCAACAATCACACAGAAATGACAGAGTTCTTTTCAATGTATCCTATCAGGAGGAACTAGGTGTTATTTGTCCCAATATCAGTGATGTTAGTTTTGATCACTTGGCTAAAATAGTGTCTGTCAGGTTTTTCTTCCGCAAAGTTATTATTTGCAATTAAGTATTTTGTGGAGAAAAAATTGAAGAGTATATAATTATTTCTCATCAGACTTTTACTGATTTAGCATTCATTGATTCTTGCCTGAAATAATTATTACTGTGATGGTTGCCAAATGCTGACTTTCTAATTGCATCATTTTTACTACATGTAGGTAATTGGAATCTTGCTATAAAGAAGGTGTCTTTCTTCTCTTTATTATTCAATTATATCAGTATGGACTCAAATTCTTATTTTATTCTATGTGCTATGATCCATTGCCATCGTTATTTATTTATTTATTTGCTGTAATTGTTTCAGATTTGGTCAGTGGGAGCTTGTTCATGTTGGCTTCTGAATCCATTTGACATGTCACAATAATTTTTTCAGCACTTATTTTCAGAACACTTAATTTGTGATACCACAAGATATTTCCAGGTTCATCTTTTACTTTCCCTACCCTAGCCCAGAAATCAGCCATTTCTCCCAGGAGCCCTATTTTTTTTTTAACTGGAGAAAGACATTTAGAAATCTGGATCTGAATACAAAAATTAGCCAGGCGTAGTGGTGCTTGCCTGTAATCCCAGCTACTCCGAAGGCTGAGGCAGGAGAATTGCTTGAACTCAGGAGGCAGAGGTTGCAGTGAGCGAAGATCACACCACCACACTCCTGCCTGGGTGACAGAGTAAGACTCTGTCTCAAAAAAAAAAAGAAATCTGGATCTGGAGTCTCATTGTTTGTATGCTTTTCCAAGAAGACAGACTATATATGTTTCATATACTATAAATATATTCAATAAATTATATATGACATAACATATAATACATATAGCATATATAATATACATAACATATAACATTTATAAGTATATAATTTATATATACATATATTTACATAATGTATAACAATATAGATTATAAAAATGTCTTAAATATATTTTATATTACTATATAATATATAACATATATAACATATATACAAAATATAATATATTGAAATATTTTATGTATATGGATGTGTATACACCCAGTCACAACATACACACATATACACACACATGAATATATATACACATATATACACACACATGCAAATACATATGTATATACACACACAGATGTTGTGATAGCTAATTTTCTGTGTCAACTTGACTGGGCTAAGTAACAGGCCCATGGCTGGTAGAACATTATTTCTGGGTGTGTCTGTGAAGGTGTTTCCAGAAGAGATCAGCACTTAAGTCAGTGGATTGAATAAAGAAGACCAGCCCTCACAGTGTGGGTGAGCATCGTTCAGTCCATTGAGGGCTCATCTGAATAGAACAAAAAAGTGGAGGAAGGACGGATTCTTACTTTCCCTTCTTGAGCTGGAACATCCATCTTCTACTGCCCTCAGACACCAGAGCTCCTGGTTCTCAATCCTTTGAACTCCAGGATTTGCATCTGCACACCAGCAGCCCTGGTCCTTGGGCCTTAAGCCCTAGATTGGGAGTTACACCATTGACTCCCCCGGTTCTCAAGACTTCAATCTCAGAATTACACCACCTGCTTTCCTGGGATTCCAGCTTGAAGATGGCATATTATGGGACTTCTAGGTTTCTATAATTGCATGAGCAAATTCCCACAGTAAATCTTTTCATATATCTATATATATCTTAATGATTCTGTTTCTCTGGAGAACCTAATACAGATATGCACATGCATGTGTGTGTATACACGTTTCTCTGTGTATCAGTTATGTTCCAAATCATGAGTTTATACTGATAACTCAAATTACAAATACCACAGGCTCCATGCTAGTGTTCCCTTATTTGTAATTCCCTTCAACAGTGAGAATCCTGACTCATTATTTGCAATATATTTGCTTACCTACCCCATCTTAGAATGCAGTGTTGAAACTGCTAACCCATACTACTATGAAAAACAAACCCACTAGACAAAATCCAACATTTGTTCATATTCTTGTCTTTAGCCCTTTGTTTGTATAATCAAAATACTGTGTTCCGAGGTTAATTCAATTCTACCTCACAGCTCCCTCTTAACTGTGGTCGTTATTCATTTGAAATACAGTAAGGGGTGGGGTGTGGTGGCTCACGCCTGTAAACCCAACACTTTGAGAGGCCGAACACTTGAGGTCAGGAGTTCAAGACCAGCCTGGCCAACATGGCGAAACCCCATCTCTACTAAAAATATAAAAATTACCTGGGCATGGTGGCACATGCCTGTAATCCCAGCTACTTGGGAGGATGAGGCAGAAGACTTGCTTGAGCCTGGGAGATGGGGGTTGCAGTGAGCCGAGATGGGGGTTGCACCACTGCACTCCAGCCTGGACGACAGAGTGAGACTCCATCTCAAAAAAAAAAAAAAAAATATATATATATATATATAAAGGTTCATTTGTTGTGTTTGTATTCTGTTGAGTTTTTTTCTCTCCCCTCTCTCCCTATTTTCATTGCTTATATTTACTTGGCTTTTTAATATGTGAGACAATTATTCTAAAATTTTTGAGACAAAACAAAAATTAGAAGGAATTCCCATCTTCTCCATCATTTCCACCTATACCTTGTATATAACTATCTCATTGTTTCTAGTTTATCCTTCCTATGTTTCTTTTTGTACAAACGAGGATGTGTATTTTTTATTTCTTCTTTTTCACATGAAAAGTAGCATACCAGTCTTTTGTATTTACTTTTTTCACTTAATAATATATCCTAGAAATACTTCATAATAGTTCATACAGATATTCCTCATTCTTTTTTCAGAGCTGCATAATGCTCCACTGTTTGGATATAACATAGCTTATTGAGCAAGTCCTACATATGAGCATTTAGGTGGTTTCCAGTCTTTTGCAATGACAAACAATGTTTTGGTGAATATCCTTGTACTGTATATTTTCATATTATTGGAGGTATATCTTCAGAGTTCATTTCTAGATGTGAGACTGGTGGATCAAAGGGTAAATGCGTATGTGTGGGGTTTTTTTTAGATATTGGAAAATTCCCCTATAAAATGGCCGTATCAGTTTGCATTCCCACCAATAATATATAAAAACATCTGATTTTCCACAGCCACACCAATAGGAAGTCTGGTCACATGAAAACCACATTCTCAACATAACTAGAAGACAAAGCACCTACTTCAAATTGCCTATAAGAAAACAAACAAAACAAAAACAACCCAGGAGTCCTTCACACTGCTCCTAGAAGCCTCTGTGGTGAGCAAGGGCAGTCTGTGGAAAGACTTCAATGAAAGTGAAAAAAGCTGAGCTAGCAAAGTCCTCAAATTGCTCCAAAACCATTGCCAGAAAGTAAGAGTCTGCCGTAAAAATGAAAATGCTGAAAAGGTGTCCTTGTAGACCAGAGCACTAACTACAAGCACTACCTTCAGGAAAGGGCCATAAACATAATGTGATCTGAGTTGATAGCCTTTGAAAGGTGTAGTTCCTAAAAGAGGAAAAGGTCAAAAGGAAGGGGAGCCATCCTTTGGTGATAGGATGGTAGAAAAAAAAAGTGAAATAAAATAAGAAGTTGTGGAGTGTTTTGAGACAAAACAAAAATTAGAAGGAATGCAGCTCTCCCCTCCACAGCTTCCATTATAGGTCAGCCTCTGAGGTCACAGCAAGTTGGAGTGTGCTAGAGAGTGGTCCTGGATGAACAAACAGAAAATATCCATCACAGTAGGAGACTTATAAATAGGAAGAAAGTGGAGAGTTGATGAACATACTGCAGTAACTAAACTAGAAAGCGGAAAAGATTATATTGAGCAAGAAAATATGCCTGAATTAGTGATTTAAGAAGGTTCCATGGAGATGAGTGACTCAGGTAGAGTGAAGGAGGTCATTAGAAATCAAAAGGTCAATAAAACCAGAGGCACAGATGTTATAAGGAGTCATCCTTGTCAATGTGAAATAATTATGGATAATACCAGATTGTAGGATGGTTGGGAGACAGTGAGCCAGTTCCAAATCCCTCAACAGACAGGGGTGGGTGACCAGAAAGTAGGGGGATTGCAATAACAAGGGGTGGAAGAGGATCATACAGTGGGTTTGAATGTGCAAACAAATCTCTGATAGGCAAAAATATCTCATTGCACTTTCATTCCACATAGTACCAGGCATAGAGGTGAAGTTGGTGCCCTATTTTATTCATCATTGCTATTTGCAGACCAGTCCTCCTTCCTTTCCACAAAACCCTTTCCTTCGAGTCACGTATCATCAGAATATAGCACCTGCTATCTTCTTGTTTGCAATCATCTTCAGATGTACAAACCACTCATTTCGTGAAGATTTTAGCCCCTGACTCAGTATCACTCTCTAACATGAATCCCCATGCTTCTTGGTGATTTCAGTATCAATTAAGATGTTCCATGGCCTCCTCCGCACCAATACTTTTGTCCACCATTTTATCTCAACTTCTCACAACCATAGTTCTGTTTAAACCCTTGTATCACCAAAATCTAGAAGGCTTCAGTGTTAGTTTAGATAATGTCAACCACAATAACGTAACACACCAATCCCCAAAATGTTAGAACTCAAACATTACAGAAGTTTATTTCTTCTTCACATGAAATCTAAAGTGGGTGTTCTTGATCAGCAGACAGCTCTCCTCAAAGCAATGACTCAAGCTCCTTCCTTTCTGTGGTTCTGTTATCTTTAGCACATGACTTACTAGGTTACTACAGTCACTTTCATCAACTCAGTGTAGGGAAGGAGGCAAGGAGGATCACATATGGGGATGTTTTAGGGCCAGACCCAGAAATGCTACACATCTCTGATCACGTTCCTTTGGCCAGAACTCAGTCCTATGTCTACACTTAACTGCAAGAGTGCCAGGAAATGTGTCTAACTTTGTGCCCAAAATGAAGGGGAAGTGTATTTGTAGACAGCTTTGTCCTCTGGTTGCCAATTCTGTTTTACCCTCAATTGACGCATTCTTATTTCTCACTACTGCATATTACCATTCTAGTTCATCCTAAATAGTACCCCAAGTCTAACAATGACATGACCCCATTAAGGTCTACAAAATATTGATCCTGTTACTCATTGTTTCTTACCACTCATATGTCTTCACTTCCCTTCTCACATAGCTTAAATTCTATGGTCCATCATTTTAATCACTCCCTTGTGCACATGCTCAACTCACGTCATCAAATTCACCTGGGAACACCCAATCATGATTAAATCCAAGCAACTGGTTTTTTCTGAGACTGTATCTAGAAAGCTAAATATGACTGCAGAAAAACTCAGAACGAAGCTTGATGATTGCACTCTAAATTCATGAGCACTCACCTCAACTGGGTCTTTAGCATTGCCTGCTAATTGACTAAATGTCTCTAGTCCTTTCCTTCTCTGCCTGTCTTCAAACATAACACCTCCTCATGTGTCATCATTTTTATGATGACCTTGATGTATATGTCCCTGAGAAAACAGAAGAAATGTGAAATCAATTTCCAAAAGCTGCCACCATGGGCATCTCCAACCCACCTGCAACAGTTCCCTCCTAGTATGTACTGAAGCCCTGCATGCTTCCACCTAAGGCAATCTCTCCACCTGTGCACTAAAAAGAGCTAAAACTTACTGAGCACTTACTACATGGCTGGCACTATTTTAAGCTCTACGTGTATTAACTTAATTCTCATTGCAAATCCTATGAGGCTGGTACTGATTTTAGGCCCACTTTACACATAGATAACTAAGGTACACTGACAAGGAACATCCCTTGAGTCCTGCAGCTGATAAATGCCAGGGCTCCGATTTGTCTCCAGAATCCATGCTTTTCACCAAGGAGAATTATAGGAAAAACATTTGACATTTTAGTAAATTACCCTACCAGAGTGAATGGACAGTTACTCTTTTTAAAGAGATGTGTGTGGGGGTTGAGATGGAAGACATGACAAAGGAACAAGGAAAACACCTCCGCCACCTCTTAACAATGAGTCATATGGATGAAAATAAACCAGCCACCACTGGAATAGGCTGCAAAGGAAGCAGTACCTTCAGGGAAGGGGCTGTTTTTAGTTTCGGTAAGGAGGAAGAAAACACTCAGGATGGGTGGGAGGAAAATGAGGCATTTGCACATTGGACATTAACCAAAGCAAACAGGGCTAGGGTGTGACAAGACAAAAATTATTCATGTTCAAGTATTCCCAGAAAAGTGACAGTGATAGGGGGCTAAATATTATAAAACTCAAATTTCTACAGTGAGCAGGTATAACTTGCTGTAACAAATACATCAGTCTCAAGAGGAAAAGCAATACAACCTTTGCAATCAAAGTAAAATCTCACAGGAGAGGTTATCTTAAGCAAAAATAAAACCACTCAACCTCATAACTACAGGATACACGGTAAATATAAATCCTACAAGAAAATATCTTTACCCTCACAAGCCTACTGTTTATATTTTCTTCAAGGTAAATGACTGTTTAATAGTATTTCCGCTTTTACCCTTATCTAAATAGCAAGTTCTTGCTATTAGAAACCTATTTTATGCTCACTGATTCTAATTAGATCGAGCAGAATAAAAAGTCTAGAGCTTACAAATTTTCACTTCTACACAGAACACATGACATAGTCTAGCCCTTGCTCTAAGCCTTTCCTACTTCGACCATCCTGCCACTATAATCTCATCTATTACTGCTTTCTCAATCAGCTTTCTGCCTTGAATATCTCCCTCCCTGCCACTCAACTGCTTAACAAACAGCTTAAGCACCCACCATATTCGGGGCTGTAACACTCGTAACTTTATCTTCTTTCTCTCAATAAGTATATATTTTGGTCTTCCTGTGGCAAACTATAAGCAACTTGAGGGCAGACACTTGCAGTTATCTTGGTAAGCTCACATTTTAGCATATGACAACTTGCACATAGTAGGCACTCAGCTTTTTTTCTGAATAGCTGAGCCAGTGTTATTGCTATCCCTGGAAGCACTGGGTTATTACAGAATAGGCAGAGCGGGCCCTCATATTTAACAAATGAATGAATGAATAGGTGGATGGATATGTGCCTACTCTTAGAACTTCTAGGAAAGTTCAAAGAATTTCCTAATATTAGAAACTATTAGGAAATTAGAAACTATCACAACTGCTAGTTGTGATAACTGTGGTTAAGGAGGAAAAAAAGTTTTATTTTAAGAAATACACATTAAAGTCTTTACAGTGAAATGCCATGAACGTATGAAATTTAAAGTACTTCAACAACAAAACAGATGAAGCAAAATGACAAAATAAACATTGCCATAATAAATCTAGTTATATTCTATACAACTAGTACATCTTAGTCTAGTCTAACACTTAAAATGTAATTGGCAAGATGACAAGAATATGGTAAAAACCTAGAAATTAATCAGATTGCCTTCAGGTAAATCAGTAACAAGTAATATAGATACTCTAATAGGAAAGGATATGACATGCTTGAGAAAGTACAATATAATTTTAAAGTAGCTGAAAATTATTCACACTAGGACAACCAAGGCATGGCATTCTGAACTGCTTGTAGGAAGCAGGTAGGGAATTTCTTATTTAGAAATAAAGTAGTCACGTTTAAGAATAAATTTCACATACTACATGATACCAAAAAATGGGATCATTTATTTCTATTTAGGAAAAATACATTTTTCTTCACATATCTTCTTCAACTTTTCTTGTTTTACATGTAAAATCAGAATGTTCACTGTCATAAATAAATATAAATAAATATTACAAAAGAATAAGATTTACAAATTTGACTATGGACATCTCGATTCAGAAATAATATATAATCTTTTCTTATGTTAATATTGTAGTATCTCTGGATACTTTTAAAGACATTAAGTCAAAGAAGACACCTTTCACAGGCTTTTTCCAAACTCTATTTGTGCAACAAAGGAAGATTCAGTCTTTCATTCTATATTCCTCCCTTATCACCATCAACACCCCTGGTTCACCAGCATGTTTTACCTTTAAAATATTTTGCCAACCCGAAGGAAAGATGAAAATGCCTTACAGCCAAAGATTACTTTATAATGTGGTTCATCTCTCTTTAGCAATTTTGCTTAGAAGAGACTGAATTGGGTTTTTATTTGCTTTTGATATCCAAATAATGTTTTTCATTTTTTATTTCCTTTATAAGTGGAAATAACATTACAGATCTTGTGGAAAAAAATCACTTTCCTTCTCTTTTCCTCGTGATCCCATTCTAAATACGAACAAATCTCTATGCTTTCTTACACTTTTAGGAAAGGAATCACTCTCAATTCTGCAAGTTGTTCTATTTTCAAGAGGTGTAGGTGTGCTAAGAATGTGATTCCAGGACTGCCTTTTTTCTCCTTGCTCTGTTGACATTCCTAACACATCTTAAAGACAATGAAAGCATCCTAAATGAAGAGCACAATTGCATTTATTTTATCCAATATGCAGATAAGTCTAAGAAACTAGGAACAGTCTGTATACTTGTGTGTATTTTCTTCTTAACTCTTCTTTGGCTAAGTCAGCAAGCCCATGGTTACTAGCGTCCCAAGCAAACCTGTCAACGTGAAACACGTGTGCCCTGAAAATTAAAAAAAAAAAAAAAAAAAAGTTAAAATCAAAATGATTTTATTTACTAGTGATAAATATAAATTTTTAGTTACTATGTGATAAATCACCAAAAAGAATCAGTTAATTTGGGGTGCAAAACAAAAAAAATAATGAGTAATAGAATATGGACAAGATTCTACAGGTGGGGTTTATCAGCTACAGCAACAACTAAAATGTGACGTGGAGTTTTTAGTTTCTCGAGTTGAACAGTGGCTAAGCTAGAATGAATTAAGGTACCTTCAGATTAAAAGTCAATGAATTCCTAAGTGTGGGAGATGTTAAAAAAATATAAAAATAAATAAAAACCCCTGAATACTACTACATGTGGAAGAGAAGATTAAGAGATGAAGACACTCAGAAAGTTTTACAGATACATTTACACCAAGTTATTTTTGTGTGATAATTTTGTATAAAGATATGAGATGTCTTTTAAGATCTATAAACATGACCTATAAAAGGATATCTTAGCACATATTATAATTTTTCTTAAACATTGAAAACTCTAAAAGCCACCAAGCAAAAGGAGAAATACAAGGTAGGTCAACCATCTCATGATGCAAATTATCATAATGAAGGCATTCTCTTTAAAAGTCCTAATGTATCATCCCTTTCCCCCCGAATATTTGTGGCATTATAGCATCTAATCGTTACAATAAACTGAGTTCAAAATGTAGGATGAGATGATAAGCATTACTGCTACCAAGTCCAGAACTGACGATATGTCATAGTAATGAGAGATTCAATGTATTAGTCATTCAACAAAGAAAAAAACAACTCTAGTGACAGAGACTTAAGCCTCTATTATCCTTTAAAAGTCATGAAGAACCCCCTAGCCAAGGGTATTAATGGATATTTTGCAAGATACAGAAATGTAATTTTATTAAACCATATATACCTTTTATAATTTACCAGAAAGTCTTATTTCTGAGGTACCACCAGTCACACTTAAATGGTCAAACACAACATTGAGTACTTTGTTGCTCTCATGTGCATTATAAGAGCTGAATAGTAGAGAAGAAAAAAACTATTGAATTGAATTATGTAACTGTCATTTCAATCAAAAAACGAAGTCAGGCATCTGCTTACACTTCCATCCCTAAACTAAAATTTATCATACAGACCTAACTCTTCTAAAAGAAATAAATCAATCCTCTGATAGGCAAACATGAAGAATCATTAAATGAAACCACATTATCACTTGCACATTAACTATATCCTGTCTTAATTAAGATCAAATATTTAATTAAATCAGTATGAAATCAGGAGGCTAGCCAAACATATATAAAGCTAGCTCTTACCCTCAACAGCTTATGTTTCCAAAATAAAGCAAGTGGAGTGTTTTTTATGTGCACATAAAAAAGACAAATTCTTTCTTAGGAGTTTGCATGACTTTCCCTCTAATTCAGAAAATAAGCAATTAAGTTCACTGCAAAACCCCAAAATACAATTCAAAACAAATACATTAGTCTGCTTATCTGTGGTTTCAGTTACCCACAGTCAACTGCAATCTGAAAATAGGTGAGTACAATACAATAAGATATTTTGAGAGAGAGAGAGACCCCATTCACATAACTTTTGCTACAATAAATTGTTCTAATTGATTATTCGTTGGTGTTAATCTCTTACTGTGCCTCATTTATAAATTAAACTTTATCTCATAGGTATGTACATACAGGAAAAAACACAGCATATATAGGGTTAGGCACTATCTGTTGTTTCAAGCATTCACTGGGGGTTCTTGAAACACCCTGCCCCCCAACCGAGGATAAGCAGAAATTACTGTATTCCCTCCTTCGATGTTCCAGTACTTTATGTCCTTAATAGGACATACAAGTATCACAGCCAATCACCTTACCAAAGTATGTAAAGAAACTGATGAAAGCCAAGAGACAGCACCTGGTAAACTTATCACATCTTGCTGCCCTGCCCCCGCCCGCCCTCCGCCCTCCCCCGCCCAGTCTCCATTCCCACCGATCCAGGGAGTCTCAAAGCAGTAGCTTTGGTAAATTGATAATACTCTATACATTGATACTTTATAACTTGATAAACTGATAACAGTATTTCAAAAGGAAAGTTGGAACAAGTACAAGAAAGTACGTAAGATTGGTGGTTTTATTTTTTTTCAGAGTAGCTTTGCTGATGCTTCCATACCAACTCACTTTAGATGACTTAGTACTAACTGTGAGTTTTTGCTAGGCTCTAAATCACATTCCTAAAACGTTTCTGATATATCTGGAGAAAAAGTTATGTCTTACTATATTTGCTATCATGACAGCTAGAATATTTTGTTGATATTAAACAAATGCCTGTAAAAATTATTAATCACTCCCCTGGACCTAATGGTCAAATATTTTTCTACAAGACTGACTCATTTAGTGAGTTAAAGAATATTTACATGCTTTAACTTATAATAGGCTTAAGTAATATTCTTAATTTAAGTAGAAAAATTGTAGAGGGTAAAAAGGAGATAGGTCACATCATCTAAAGAATTAAAACAGACAATTTAATAACAGCATTAAATTAATAGTTTTCTTATTAATGGGAAAAACGGACAGGCATTAGGGCAGCTTAGAAATAACTCAAGTTTGTATAAATTCCACAACTAGTTTTCTGAACAGTTAAAACTACAAAACAGAAGAGGGTCGATTTAAATCATCATCTGTCTACAGGACACATCAGAGCCAATCGTGACATTTATACTTAACATTATGTATATTCAATGCAGATTAGATATTTTAAATAATACTGATGTGTGTGTGTGCTGTTGTTGTTTTAATATCTGAGTGCTTACTATGTGCCAAGCAATGTTCTAAGCACTTGACAGGTGGCAACTCATTTGATATATGATTATAATCATATGAGGTAGGTACTATATTTCCCCCATTTGTCTGCTGCCTTAACCACTGTGCTGTTTTGAGCTGGACTGGCATCTATTAATATAAGTGAGAAAAAGCCCTAATCACAGGCAATTTCACAGTATGTTAGAGGTTGATTTTTCCTAGATTTCTTTGCTTCTGTGCAACACTAGATACTATCATAAATTACACTGAGTGGAAAAAAATCAGTGGATTAATAGATCACAAAATGAGACTTCAAGTCACTTTGCTTTGAAATGCGCCTTTGAATATATTGAGAAAAAACAGACATGAAGTCTGTTAATCCAGGATAGTAATTACAGACAAAAATGAATACAGAGACACGCCAAAATTTAAATAAAGCTAAGAGAGTCATCTACTGATACAGTACCAAATTTTACTGGAAATAAACTAGGAATAAATTTTTAAAAATCATCAGAATTTCTGCTCACTCTGATTTTCCATAGTCCAATGACTAGAATTAGGGTACCAATTAATAGAGTACCAGCAAGAAATCCTTGAAGGGGAAAAGATATGGTAACACAGTTAATAGAAACATGAGCAATTAAAATTACATTATAGTTTCACAATGACATACATACTGGTTATGAAGTGAGTTACAAATAGGAGATATTAATTGCATTTTGTATATGGCTTCCTTATGTCACAAATTTTTGACAAATGCATGTTTTATTTGTCCTGTTTTCTTCGAAAGAAAAAGGAAGAAATATATTTAGAATATCACAATGCTCAAATAAAATTTTTTGACAGGTTTGAGAGGCTTCTTAAGTGTTTCAACCCAATCATGCTCGATTTTAAATGTTTTGATCGTTGAGCATTCAAATATGGTGACAGAATTATGTTATTTTAGAGCTAGAAAGCATCTTAGAGTTCACTTTCATTTTTTAGATGAGTAAATTGAGTCTCAGAAGGAAGTTGAACATTAACATATGTGGTTAATGGGAAGGACATTTACCTAGTTTACAGTAGATATAACAGATATGTAGACATTTCTCCATCACAGGAAATATGCCTGTACTATTATCATCTGAGATTGGAGGGCAAACTATATTTACTTTGCCTACAGAATATGCTTTTTAGTGTTCAGTCTATGGTAGATTAAATTTCATTTCAAAAATTATATTCACTTTTAAGATTCAAAGCACTATTTTGAGCTGAACAACAGCAAATAATTGGTCAAATAAGTTGATCAACATCAAATCATTTTTATAGCTTACACAATCTTTCTTCTCAAATGCACCCATTTGCCCTTTTCTCTCACCATCCTCATTCTCTCTTTCCTCACCAACAGCCCCCCTCCCACCACCACCCCCACCAACCCTGCCCAGTGTCCTTGGACTCAACTCTATTGGTCTTTACTACAAAGGAAATGACAGATGACACTAGAATAGTAACTGAATCTAACGTGACTAATGAGTGTATTTGGCTCCAAATCAGCAAAATAGAGACACTGTACAATTGCACTGCCATGTGAAAATTGTGATTTAAAAAACAGCTATTTCTACCACAGGTAAGTTTTTACAGTATTTTACTTTAGAAGTTTATTTAACTGATCCCCTAGAATTGTATCATTAACTTAGAGAGACTATCCATGAAATAAATCACAGCTCCTAAAAAATTTTGGGTTTCCCCCTTTCTGTCACCAGTTCCCACTAATTCCACCACTTTCAATATCTTATTTTTTATTTGAATACTAAATCAAGACAGAAAATTCAGAGTGATCTAGAACATCCAGATGACAGAAGTAAAAGGCTATTCCCAGAACAATGCTCAACACATATACATAGTTCTAGAAGAAAGTGTAGAGGCTGATGGTTTAACAGAAAACCAAGGCAAAACACAGAAATATGAAAAACAAAATTCTACGTATCTTCTCAGTAAATTAATAAGAGCATATTATCTCCCAAATTAGAAACAAAACTTTCAGGTTCAAAGGCAACTGTTTATGATCTCAAAATTCACTTGGTATCTACAGAAAACCAAAGGTGAATCAACATTAAGATTTATACAACTTGGGAAAAATGAAAGTATGAAATAATGAATGAAATAATAATTATGATTCCAATGTTCCTAAGATTAAACTGAAGAGCTCTTAGGTGGGAAAATAACATAATGTTAGAAAAAGGTTTTCTCCCCCACAAAAGGAGTATTTTAGTAAGGTTCCCCATCATGTAGAACTGTATTGCAGTGTTGAAAACATTGCAAAGCAGTTTGCCACCTATTATCTCATTTGATCACCTCTCATTATTAACACAGTACATGGCAAACAGTAGAAAGTGTTTAACAAATATTTATTAAATTGCACTTAATATCTTGTTTCCAGATAAGAAAACTGAGACCAAGAAAGGGTAAGTCAGTTTATTGCCATAGAAAAACTCACTTCTAGCCCCAGATTCAGGCCATAATTTTAACTGTTTGAAATATTTTCAATAAAATACCTGATATTCATCAAACAAAATTTACATTAGACAGATACTACATTAATATATAGGGTATCATCTTCACTGCCAAAGAACCCAACTTAGAATTCTATCTACCTACCTCCAAGAACTGGAGTGACCTAGAGGATGCACATCATCTTTTTTGAAGAAATGTGGGATGACCCAGACACTTCAAAAGGTCTAACTTGCAGAGCTAACAAAGTGGAAATGCAATGCATGTGCTATGAAAACAAAAAGTTATGGAAAGGTTTTGTTCTTGCTTATATCATACTTAATGTAACAGAATAAAGGGCCTGTGGACAAGTGAAGGCACCCTGGGAAGAGATTTTCGTAGATGATTTGAAAAACAGTATGCTTGAGTAACCCTTAAATTTTCCATTTTGTAAATGCAGATTCAACTCTGCTTCCTCAGAGAGACATCCACAGGACCCTTTAAGTGTCTTGCCATCATCGTTGGATTTTCTGTACCTCTGTATTTCTTCAATTTTTTTAATAAGGGAAATTCACATACTTCCTTTTCCAGACTAAACGTATCACAGAAAGATTATATGATTATATTATCTGACTTAAACCTGAATAACAGGCAGATAACTGATGTCACTTTATAATGGGACTTAAGTTTGTCATGTATAGGGGCATGTAATAAGACATAAAGACCCCTGTAACCACATCTTATTAACTTCAAATAGCTACTTAAGAGTCAAGACTCTTGAAAGTACATTTAGATTTGGGCTAGTCTGTAATATATGCCATATTCAAGTTTAAAGGATAAATAAGTACACAATTGTTAGGGGATACAGAAAAAATATTTTCTATATTTCACTGAATATTTCCTGACTTCTTATTTATTATTCTTTAAATTGATCTATTAGTCCCCATGAGGGACTTATGAATGTCTCAGTATAGGACTTTGGCAACAGAGGGGAATAAAGCAATACTTGTAGGGAATCACGGCACCTTAATTGTCCAATTTGGGTTGTATTGTCTCTTGGTCTGTCACTAGGATGAGCATCTTTCTATCTTTTAAAGTACCTGGGAAGATCACTTGAGCCTGGGAAACAGAGGTTGCCGTGAGCCGAGATTGCACCACTGCACACCAGCCTGGGTGACAGAGTGAGACCCTGTCCCCCATCCAAAAAAAAAAAAAAAAAAAAAAAAACCTGGTAATAGAGAAACTAGTCATCGGCCTCTATTTATTGCCTACTAGCTCTGTGAAAGGCAAGTTACAAATTTTGCAAAACCACAGTTATCTTAGCTGAAAATGGGATAAAAATGCTACATTATAAGATTGTTGTGAGAAGAATATGAAATAATACATTAAAAAAAATCAGTACAGTACTTGCCACAGAGAAAACATGTAAATATTACCTGAATAAAAGACTGTTCTTATTCTTTGGTGTGGCCAGAGGGAGTGATGAAATTATCAGAAATCCAGCTTAGGAAAATAATAGTGATTGCATGCAGTGACTTCCTTAAGCTAATATTTATTCAACTTTTAGGACTGTGCTTGGAGTTTTCATACCCACTAATCACATTAAGCTTCAAATACTTCACATAGGAATCACAATCTCTATCTCTTAAATGAGAAAACTGAGTCTCAGAGAGATTAAGTTAATCACTTAATCACTTGGGTTGAATAATTACTAAGTGAAAAAAACAGGATTCAAACCAACATCCGACTGGTTTGACTCCAGAGGTTAAGCTCTTTCTTCTATATGATTTTGTCTTTAAAAACAATAAAAACAAAACCAACAGAAAGCAAGCATTCTCAATGGGGGTGATACCTGATGAAAGTTAAAAAAAAATTTTCCTTTTTTAAGTACAGAGTGCAGATATATATGTGATACATAAACTGATTTACAGTATATGTGTGGTGGAGGATGATCAAAAAAAAATGTCTAAAAAGGTCTTTGGTGAGAAGAGAGCAAGAATTAACGCACCCCCCACCCCCCACAAAAAAAAATTGGGAAACACTTATACAAAGCCAACGGAAGAAAAGATTTAAAATTCACAACACATGCTTCATTTACAAGGCAAATTAGAAAGTTCTGTAACATTAGTCAGTCTTTCTTCCTTAGCAGAATAGGAAAAAAAAATCAAATACTTCCAAAATTCAAAGATCATCTGTATCATTTTACTTACATTGCAGTGTAATTGATGAAACAATTTTCTTGCAGTAGAGTTAATTTATCTTTAAAGAAGAGTAACCTCATTCACATAATAAATTTAATGAATATAATTTTCAGGTTTATGTCCTACAAATATGAAATCACACACAAAAAATGTTGCCATATGTCCAGTTTAAGAAGGAAGGACTTCCTCTTTATTTTTTAACACAAGCTGGAATGCCGACTAAGGAAAGTTTTCTAGAAAATCAAAGGGTATAATACTTAAAGAATTTCAGGAAAAAAAGGCATTTCAAACCTTCATTGAGTGCCATTGAGCAGGTGAGAAAAAACTCATTTATTAAACTCATCACTTTTGTGATCATTAAATCATCAGACTTTCATTTGAAACACATTTATTTCTATTTAAAACAAAGTGAATTCCAACAGTTGGAATCTTTCAAGATAAATCTTTTAGCTTAGAAGTTCATTCAAAATATAAAATAACCACAATAAATAATAATGATAGTAATGATAATGTTTTTATTACTCTTTTCAGATCCAACACTGGATCATCCAGATTCATAAGACAAGTTCTTAAAGACCTATGAAGAGATGGAAATAACCACACAATATAGTGGGAGACTTCAACACCCCATTGACAATGTTAGACACATAATCAAGGCAGAAAACTAACAAAGATATTCATGACCTAAACTTGACACTTGACCAAATGGACTTAACAGACATCTACATAACATTACACCCAAGAACAACAGGATATACATTCTTCTCATCTGCACATAGCACATACTCTAAGATTGACCACATGCTCAACCATAAAGCAATTTTAAACAAATTCAAAAAACCAAAATCATACTAACCATACTCTTAGGCCACAGCATAAAATATAAATCAATACCAGGAAGATCTCTTAAAACTATACAATAACATGGAAATTAAACAACCTAATCCTGAATGACTTTTGGCATTCTGAAAATTAAGGCAGAAATCAAGAAATTCTTTGAAACTAGTGAAAACAAAGATACAACATACCAGAGTGTCTGGGACACAGCCAGAACAATGTCAAGAGGAAAGTTTGTAGCATTAAACACCTACATCAAAATGTTAGAAAAATCTCAAATTAACAAAGTAACATCACCTCTAGAGGATGTAGAAAAAACAAGAGCAAACCAACCCAAAAGCTAGCAGAAGAAAAAAAATAACCAAAATCAGAGCTGAACTGAATAAAATTGAGATGCAAAAATCCATACAAAAGATCAACAAAACCAAAGCTGGTTTTTTGAAAGAATAAATAAGATTGATAG
The DNA here is from genome assembly GCF_000001405.40 of Homo sapiens. Taxonomy (NCBI): domain Eukaryota; kingdom Metazoa; phylum Chordata; class Mammalia; order Primates; family Hominidae; genus Homo; species Homo sapiens. Next base: position 207,350,766 of record NC_000001.11, on the reverse strand, counting down.
ACAACTAGCTAGATTAATAAAGAGAGAGAACATCCAAATAAACACAATCTCAGATGACAAAGGGGACATTACCACCAACCCCACAGAAATACAAAACACCCTCAGAGACTATTTTGAACACCTCTATGTACATAAACTAGAAAACGTAGAAGAAATGGTAAATTCTTGGAAAAATACAACCTCCTAAGATTGAACCAGGAAGAAATTAAATACCTGAACAGACCAATAACAAGTTCTTAAATTGAATCAGTAATTTAAAAAACCTACCAACCAGAAAGAGCCCTGTACCAGATGGATTCACAGACAAATTCCACCAAACATACAAACAAGAGCCGGTACCAATCATACTGAAACTATGCCAAAAATCAAGGAGGAGGGACTCCTCATTCTATAAGGCCAGCATCACACTGATACCAAAATCTGGCAAAGAGACAGGACAAAAAAAGAAAACTTCAGGCCAACATCCCTGATGAAAGTAAATGCAAAAATCCTCAACAAAATACTAGCAGATCAAATCCAGCAGCACATCAAATACCTAACTTACCACGATCAAGTAGGCTTTATTCCTGGGATGCAAGGTTGGCTCAACATATCCAAATCAATAAATGTGATTCATCACATAAACAGAACTACAAACAAAAAAACCACATGATCATCTCAATTGTTGTAGAAAAGGCTTTTGACAACATTCAACATCCCTTCATGTTAAAAGTCATCAACAAACTAGGCATCAAAGGAACATACCACAAAATAATAAGAGCCGCCAGGAAAAACCCACAGCCAACATCATACTGAATGAGCAAAAGCTGGAAGCATTCACCTTGAAAACCAGTACAAGACAAGGATGTCCATTATTATCATTCCTATTCAACATGGTACTGGAAATCCTAGCCACAGCAATCAGGCAAGGAAATAAAAGGCATCCATATAGGAAGAGAGGAAGTAAACTATCTCTCTTCACAGATGATATGAGTTTAAACCTAGAATACTCCATAGTCTGCCCAAAAGCTTTTAGAACTGTTAAACAACATCAGTAAAGCTTCGGGGTACAAAAATCAGAAGCATTTCTATACACCAACAATGTCAAGCTGACAGCCAAATCAAGAATGCAATCCTATTCACAATAGCCACAAAAGGATAAAATACCTATGAATACAGCTAACCAGGGAGGTGAATGATCTCTATAGAGAAATACAAAACAAAGAAGACAGAGACAATACAAACAAATGGAAAAATATTCCATGCTCATGCATAGGAAGAATAAATATTTTTAAAAGGGCCATACTGCGGGCATGGTGGCTCATGCCTGTAATCCCAGCACTTTGCAAGGCTGAGGCAGGTGGATCACTTGAGGTCAGGAGTTTGAGACTAGCTTGGCCAACATGGTGAAACCTCATCTCTACTAGAAATACAAAAATTAGCTGGGTGTGGTGGTGTGCACCTGTAATCGTAGCTACTTGGGAGGCTGAGGCAAGAGAATCACTTGAACCCAGGAGACGGAGGTTGCAGTGAACCAAGATCATGCCACTGCACTCCAGCCTGAGTGACAGAGTGAGACTCTGTCTCAAAAAAAAAAAAAATTAATACAAAATTTTTAAAAAGGGCCATACTGCCTAAAGCAATTTATAGATCCAATGCTATTCCTATCAAACTACCAATGATATCTTTCAGAGAATTAAAAAATATACATTCTAAAATTCATATGGAATCAAAAAAGAACCCAAATAGCCAAAACAACCGTAAGTAAAAAGAACAAAGCTGGAAGCATCACACTACCTGATTTCAAACTATATTACAAGGCTACAGTAACCAAAACAGCATGGTACTGGTACAAAAATAGACACATAGACCAATGGAAGAGGTTAGAAAACCCAGATATAAAGCCACACCCCTACAACCATCTGATCTTCAATGAAGTCGACAATAACAAGCAATGGGGAATGGATTCTCTATTCAATAAATGCTATAACTGGCTAGCCATATGCAGAAGATTGAAAATGGACCCCTACCTTTCACCATATACAAAAATCAACTCAATATGGATTAAAGAATTAAACTTAAAACCTAAAAGTATAAAAACTCTAGAAGAAAACCTAGGAAATACCATTCTGACATAGGTGTTGGTAAATATTTCATGATGAGGTCTCCAAAAGCAATTGCAACAAAAACAAAAATTGACAAGTGGGACATAATTAAACTAAAGTGCTTCTGCATGGCAAAAAAATATATATCAACAGAGAAAACAGACAACCTACAGAAAAGGAGAAAATATTTGCAAACTATGCATCTAACAAAGTTCTAATATTCAAAATCTCTAAGGAACTTAAACAAATCAACAAACAAAAATCAAACCAACCCTTAAAAAATGGGCAAAGGACATAAACAGACACTTCTCAAAAGAAGACATACATGAGGCCAACAAGCATATGAAAAAAATGCTCAACATCACTAATCATTAGAGAAATGCAATCAAAACCACAATGAGATACCATCTCATAGCAGACAGAATGGCTATTATTAAAAAGTGAAAAAATAACAAATGTTGGTAAGGTTGTGGAAAACAGAGAACACTTATACATTGCTGGTGGGAATGTAATTAGTTCAGCCTCTGTGGAAAGCAGTTTGGAGATTTCTCAAAGAACTTAGAACCACCATGTGACCTAGCAATCTCATTATTGGGTATATACCCAAACCAACAAAAATCATTCTACCATAAAGACATATGCACACATATGTTCATCAGCACTTTTCACAATAACATGGAATCAACCTAGATGCACATCAGTGGTGAACTGGATAAAGAAAATGTGGTATATATACACCACGGGATATTACACAAACATAGAAAGGAATGAAATCATGTCCTTTGCAGTAATATGGATGCAGCTGGAAACCATTATCCTAAGTGAATTAATGCAGGAACAGAAAACCAAATACTGCATCTTCTCACCTATAAGTGGGAACTAAACAATGAGTACACATGGATGCAAAGAAGGGAACAATGGCCACCAGGGCTTATTTGAGAATGGAAGGTGGGAGGAGGGTGAGAATCAATAAACTACCTATTGGGTACTAAGCTCACTACCTGGGTGATGAAATATTATGTACACTCAACCCTAATGACACACAATTTACCCATGTAACAAACCTTCACCTGTACCTCCCAAACCTAAAATAAAAGGTGGAAGAAAAAAAATGTGTTTACCTGGCCAGGTGCGGTGGCTCACGCCTGTAATCCCAGCACTTTGGGAGGCCGAGGCAGGCAGATCTCGAGGCCAGGAGATCAAGACCATCCTGGATAACACGGTGAAACACCGTCTCTACTGAAAAATACAAAAAATTAGCCGGGTGTGGTGGCAGGCGCCTATAGTCCCAGCTACTTGGGAGGCTGAGGCAGGAGAATGGCGTGAACCCGGGAGGCAGAGCTTGCAGTGAGCCGAGATCACGCCACTGCACTCCAGCCTGGGTGACAGAGCGAGATTCCGTCTAAAAAAAAAAAAATGTGTTTACCCATTTTCCCTTTGGTATCCATGAATGCTACATGTTGATTGTTTTCCTAAGACAGTATCATGGGGAGTGGCTTCAAGATGTCTGACTAGATGCCTCTGGTCTTCTCCTCTTCCATGGAGAGAAACCTAAGCAGGAATTACATAATCACATTTTGAAGAGATCATCAAAGAGAGAACACTAGAATTTAACAAACAAGTGACAGGATGCACCAAAGCAAGGAAGGAGACAGAAGCAAGGCAGCCTGTTTGGCTGAGATTGCCTGGAAGCCTGGAGAGACTCCCTAATGCAGGAAAAGAGTAAGTGAGAGAACCCCAGCAGTCCACATTCCCTCTGAAGACTCCCACAATCCTAGCTACAGGAGTCCCTTGATTCTCGTAGGCTCTAGATCTAACATAGGAAGCTGCCTGGAGACAGTGTGATGGCATTACTCCAGAGAGTAAGTTCACACTGAGTACTATAAACCACTGAGTCCTAAGCAGCCACAGCACAAGACTATTTTGAGAGCCCAGCCCCTCCCAGACTGCATCTTGCTCTGTGGCCACTGTTGCCTAAGCCAAAGCAGGAGCCACTGGCAGCGACCTGACACCCCCAATAGAGGAGCAGCCAGGCATTTTCTGGTTCCCTGAGGACAAATTCCAGTGCATGCGGCTATGGCTGCTGCTGGCTGCTTTGGGCTGAGGCATGAGCAAACTGCATGTGCCCCAGCCACCTCTCTGTGGCTGCTCCCAACTGAAAACAACACTGCTGTCCCAAGTAGCTGGTCCACAGCACAGCCACACTGTCCTCACCTAAGCATTCCACCAGTAGCCTAGGAATACTCTACCTCTTCCTACCACAGCCAGCACTCACATGCACCACAGGGAGGCCTGAGGACAAGTCCATCTGGCCCAGCGTCACCCTCTCAGTACACAAGCCTGCCATCAGGTACCCGGATGCTCAGCCAGTCCACCACCAATAGCAGCTGAGCACTCTTCCTGGTGTCTGAAGTCAGGCCCACTCAACCTGCCACTAACATCACAGCTGGTAAGCCACCTGCAGACCTGGAAACTGATCCACCCAATCACCGCACCCACAGCCAACACTGGCACAGACTGCTTGTGTCCCACAGGGTTGTCCCACCACTACTACTGCCATCACCCATGCCCCCACTTGCTGCCAAGTAGCCTGAGAACCAGGTCACCCGCCATTTCTGGCACCCAAGTGAGCCACCTGGAGACCCAATAACTGGCCTGATTGGGCTTGCTAACACTGGTGCCAGCAACATCACCCTGGGCCCAAGGACAGGCAAACTCAGCCCACCACTGCCAACACTTGGGTCCGAACATTGGCCCACATGGCATCCTATTCCCTAGCAAATCTCCACTAGTAACCGCATCCTAAAGCACTGAGGAAATGACAGATACCACTGATGATATTTACAGCTGAAAGTCATACAGAAACTACACTACTGCATGCACCCAGAATTAAAGCCAAAGTGCCCCACCTAACTGACACCATAAATACATCTTCAGGAAAAGTCCTCCCCTACAAAAGCAAATTTGAAAAATTAGAAACAGCAAATATCACATCAGATGCACAGATATCAACTTCAGGATGCAGGAAACGTGAAAAAACAAGAAAATATGATACCACCAAAGGAACACAATAATTCTCCAGCAACAGATCCCAATCAAAAGTAAACTTACAAAATTCTGGGAAAAGAATTCAAAGTTGTGATATTAAAAAAGCTCAGGGAGGTGAGATACAAACTTTAAAATTTGTTTTAAAAAAATACAAAGAAATCAGAAAAACAATTCAGGATATTAATGAGATGTTTATCAAAAAAAGATACATATAAAAGAACCAAACAACTTCTGGAAATAATTTATTGATGAAATACATAATATACTTGATGAAATATTAAATACATAATATACTTGAAAGCATCAATAATAGGCTAGATCAAGCAGAAGAAAGAATCTCAGAACTTGAAGACAGGTCTTTTGAGATAACACAGTCAGATAAGAATAAGGAAAAAAGAATAAAAAAATGGGCAAAGTTTACATGACATATGGGACACCCTAAAGTGGCCAACTATTCAAATTTTAGGAGTCTCAGAAGGTGAAGAGAAAGTGAAAGGATTAGAAAATCTATTACTAAAACAACAGAGGAAAATTTCTCAAGTCTAACAAGAAATGTAGACATCCTGACACAGGAGGCTCAGAGATCACCAAGTAGATACAATTTAAAAAGGTCTTCTCTGGCCCGGTGCGGTGGCTCATGCCTGTAATCCCAGCACTTTGGGAGGCCGAGGCAGGTGGATCACCTGAGGTCAGGAGTTCGAGACCAGACTGGCCAACATGGTGAAACCCTGTCTCTATTAAAAATACAAAAATTAGATGGGTGTGGTAACACACACCTGTAATCCCAGCTACTACTCAGGAGGCTGAGGTGGGAGAATCGCTTGAACTTGGGAGGCAGAGGCTGCAGTGAGCTGAGATTGCGCCACTGTACTCCAGGCTGAGTGACAGAATGAGACTCTGTCTCAAAACCAAAAAAAAAAAAAGGTTTTCTCCATGACAAACTATACTCAAACTGTCAAAAGTCAAAGACAGAGAGAGTTCTAAAAACAGCAAGGGAAAAGCATCTAGTCACTTATAAAGGAAACCCATCAGACTAACAATGGATTTCTCAGCAGAAACCTTACAGGCCAGGAGAGAACGGGATGATATACTCAAAGCGCTGAAAGAAAAAGACTACCAACCAAGGATTAGGAAAGTTATCCTTCATAAATGAAGGAGAAACAATGTCTTTCCCAGACAAAAGAAAGCTGATGGAATTAATCACCATGATGGAATTCATCACCATGAGATGGCTTACAAGAAATGCTTAAGGGAGTGCTATACCCAGAAGAGAAAGAATGATATCTACAATCATGAAAACACACAGAAATTTTAAAAACCACTGGTAGAGCAAACACACAAAGAAGAGAAAAGACTAAAATGTTATGAAAGAAAAACTCTACATCACAATAATAAGAGAGAACAAAAGGAACAAAACAACCAGAAATCAATTAATAAGATGACAGGAATAATTCCTCACATATCAATAACCCTGAATGTAAACAGATTAAACTTTCCTCTTAAAAGATGTATACTGGCTGAATGGATGCAAAAACACAACCCAACTATACGTTTCTTTCAAGAAATTCATCTCATCTGTGAAAACACATTGTGACTGAAAGTAAAGAGATGGAAAAAGATACTCCATGCTAACACAAACCAAAAACAAACAGGAGTAGCTGTACTTATATCAGATGAAACAGACTTTAGGTAAAAAACAGTAAAAAGAGACAAAGGAGGTCATTATATAATTGACAAAGAGATCAATTCAGCAAGAGGATATAACAATTCTAAGTATGTATGCACCCAATCCTGGAGTACCCAAACATATAAAGCAAATATTGTCCAATCTAAAGGGATAGACTCCAATACAATAATTGTTAAGAACTTCAACATCCCACTGTCAGCATTAGCTCATCTGGACAAAAAATTCACAAAGAAACATTGGATTTAAATTGCACATTAGACCAAATGGACCTAACAGACACTAACAGAAGAGTTCACCCAATAGCTACAGAATTTTCTCAATGGCACATGAAACAATCTCCAGAATAGAACATATGTTAGGATACCAAACAAGTCTCAATAAATTTGAAAAAGTCAAAATTGTATCAAGTATCTTCTCAAACCATAATGGAATTAAACTAGAAATTAATAACAACAGGAACTTTGGAAACCGTACAAATAAATGAAAATTAAACAACATGCTTCTGAATGACCATTAGGTCAAGGGAGAAATTCAGGATTAGACAAAAAATTTCTTGAAAAAATAGAAATGGCAACAGTGTAGCAAAACTTATCAGACATAGCAAAAGCAGTGCTAACAGGGAAGTTTACAGCAATAAATGATTACATCAAAAAAGTAGAAAGATTTCAAATAAACAATCTAACAATGCATCTTAAGGAACTAGAGAAGGAAGAACAAACCAACCCCAAAATTAGCAGAAGGAAAGAAGTAAGAAAAATCAGAGCAGAGCTAAACAAAATAGAGACTAAAAAACAATAAAGTGAAAACTTGTTTTTTTGAAAAGATAAACCAAACTGATAAAGTACTTGCTAGACTAACCAAGAAAAAAAGAGAGAAGCCCCAAATAAAATCAGAAATGAAAAAAGAGACATTACAACTGATACCACAGAAATACAAAATATCAGAGACTATTATAAACACCTATACATTGACAAACTGGAAAACCTAGAGGAAATGAATAAATTCTTGGAGACATGCTCCCTATCAAGACTGAGTCAGGAAGAAACAGAAAATCTGAACAGACCAATAATGAGTAGTAAGACTGAATTGTAATAAAAAGTCTCCTGACAAAGAAAAGCCCAGGACTGGATGGATTCAAAGCCAAATGCTACCAAACATACAAAAGAGAACTAATACCAATTCTCCTGAAACAATTCCAAAAAATTGAAGAGGAGGAAACTTTCCCTAACTCATTCTATAAGGCCAGCATTACCCTGATACCAAAACCAGACAAGAACACAACAAGAACAACAAAATCACAGGCCAATACTCTTGATGAATATAGACACAAAAATTCTCAGCAAAGTATTAGCAAACCAAATCCAACACCACATCAAAAAATTAGTATGCCAAGACCAAGTGGGATTTCGACCAGGGATGCAAGGATGATTCAACACATAGAAATCAATAAAACTCTCAACAAACTAGGCATAGAAGAAGCATATTAACATCATAAAGGTCATACATGACAAACCCACAGCTAATATTCTGTTGAATGAGGAAAAGCTGAAAGCCTTTCTTCTAAGAACTGGATCAAGAGAAGGATGTCTACTTTCACCACTTCTATTCAACATAATGCTGTAAGCCCTAGTTTCCATTTCATTGAAGAACCAAGTTTCATTTGGCTCATAGAGAACCAAGTTTTCATTTATTAACTTGCAGCCAGGCAAAAGAAAGAAATAAAAGGCATCCAAACTGGAATAGAGGAAGTCAAATTGTCCCTCTTTTTTAATGATACGATTTTATATGTAAAAAAAAATCCTTAAAGACTTCACCAAAAACTCTTAGATCTGATAAATTCAGTACAGTTGCAGGAAACAAGATCAACATACAAAAATCAATAACATTTCTATACAATAATGAACAAACTGAGAAAGAAATCAAGAAGGCAATTCCATTGACAATAACTAAAAAAATAAATAAAATACCTAGGAACAGATTTAACTAAGGAGGTGAAAGACCCCTACAAGGAAAACTACAAAACATAGATAAAAGAAATCGAAGAGGGCACAAAGGGAAAGACATCCCATGCTCACGGACTGGAAGAGCTATTATTGTTAAAATGACTACACTGCCAAAGCAATCTAAAGATTCAGTACAACCCCTATCAAGATATCAATGCCATTTTTCACAGAAATAGAAAAAAAAAAGTCCTAAAATGATTGTGGAACCAAAAGAGTCCAAAGAGCTAACACAACCCGAGCAAAAACAAAGCTGGCAGCATCACGCTACCTGACTTCAAAATATAAGGTTATAGTAACCAAAAACAGCATGGTATTGGTATAAAAACAGGCACACAGAATAATGGAACAGAATAGAGAACCCAGAAATAAATCCACATATTTATAGCTAACTGATTTTTTTACAAAGGTGCCAAGAACATACATTGGAAAATGGATACCTTCTTCAATAAATAGTGCTGGGAAAATACAGAAGAATGAAACTGGACCTCTGCCCCTCACCATGTACAAAAATCAAATCGAGATGATTAAAAACTTAAACATAAGATCCACAACTATAAAAATACTAGAAGAAAACATCAGGAAGATGCTACAGGACATTAGTCTAGGCAAAGGTTTAATGGCTAAAACCTCAAAAGCATAGACAATAAAAACAAAAATAGATAAATAGGACTATATTAAACTAAAAAGCTTGTGTACAGCAAAGGAAACAATCAACAGAGTGAAGAGACAACCTGCTAAATGGAAGAAAATATCTATAAACTATTCATCTGTAAAGGTACTAATATCCAGAATATACAACGAACTCAACTTACTAGCGAAAAACAAATAATCACACTAAAAAGTGGGCAAAAGACATGAACAGACATTTCTCAGCAGGTATATGAAAAACTGCTCATCACTAATCATCATGGAAATGCAAATCAAGCTCCACAATGAGCTATCAGTTCTTAACCTCAGTTAGAATGGCCATTTTTAGACAAAAAATAACAGACGCTGGTGAGGACGTGAAGAAAAGGGAAATCTTATATACTGTTGGTGAGAATGTAAATTAGTACAACCACTGTGGAAAACAATATGGAGGTTCCTGAAAACATAAAAAAATATAACTATCTTAGGATCCAGCAATCCCACTACTGGGTATTTATCCAAAGGAAAATAAAACCAATATATCAAAAAGATATGTGCATTCACATATTTATTGAAGCACTATTCACAATAGCAAAGATATGGAATCATCTTAAGTGTCCATCAATGTACAAATGGATAAAGAAAATGTGGGGCCAGGTGCAGTGGCTCACACTTATAATCGCAACGTTTTGGGAGGCCGGAAAAATCGCTTACGGCCAGGAGTTTGAAACCAGCCTGGGCAACATAGGAAAATCCTGTCTCTACAAAAAATAAATTTCAAAAACTTAGCCGGGTGTCGTGGCACACACCTGTAGTACCAGCTACTTGGGAGGCTGAAGTGGAAGGATCGCTTGAACCCAGGAGTTCGAGACTGCAGTGAGCTACGATCACACCACCGCATACCAGCCTGGGTGACAGGACGAGAACCTGTCTCAAAAAAAAAATAAAAATAAAAAAAAGAAAAGAAAGAAAACAAATCTAGCATATATAGAATGAAATACATTCAGCCATAAAAAGAATAAAGTTATGTCATTTGCAGCAACATGAATGGAACTAGAGGCCATTATATTAAATGAAATAAGCCAAGCAAAAAAGACAAATATCACATGCTCTTACTCACATGTGAGACCTAAAAAAGTTCTCATGGAGGTAGAGAGAAGAATGTTAGATACCAGAGGCTGAGAAAAGTGTGTGAGTAGGAGGGAGGATGAAGAGACTTTGGCCGATGGGTATAAACATACAATTAGATAGAAGGATTACATTCTAATATTCAATAGCAGAGTAGGGTGAGTATAGTTAGCAATAATGTGTGATATATTTTTCATAGTCACTAGAAGAAAGGACCTAAAATGTTTCCAACACACAAAAATAATACTCAAGGTGATGAATACCCCAAATACCAACTTGAGAATCACACAGTCCATGCATGTAACAAAATATCACATGTACCTCATAAATATATAAAACATTATGTATCAATTAAAAAATTATAAGATAATCAGGGAAGTTTGGATATTGACTAAATATTTGCTGATATTAAGGAATTACTGGATTTTTTTAGGTATGCTACATGGTTATGTTTTTATAAAGGTTACTTAGTGAAATGTTTATGAAGGAAATGATACGATGTCTGGGATTATCTTCCAAATAATCCAGGGAGTGTGGGTGAAGTGGGTATCCATGAGTTGAAAATTGCTGAATCCGAGCGAGTATATGAGGATTCACTGTACTATTTTCCCTATTTGAGTGACGTTTAAAGTTTTCCATACTAAAAAGTTTAAAAATAAATTGCAGGATACATTTTTTTAAAAACAAGAAGACAATATTATCTCCCAGGAATATGGATTGTATATCCCACAGTGAAAACAATTTCTTTTAATGGCCTGAGAGCCAAACTTACCAGATAGAAGACGGGTAGTACCTACAGACGAAGGGGAAAAAAAGGATTAACAACAAAAATTTGTTAAAGTCATTGATTTGCTAGCAATTTCATATACTATCAATAAACTACACTAGAAAACTCGAAAGCAACTCAAATTTCCACAAATGAAATAATTATAAATTTATAAAAACAATTACACATTAACTTAATCAAGTAGAATGTAAACATTACTGTCTATACCTGTTCAACAGAATCAACACTGTAAATATAAATTATGATAAAGAGTTATTGATTACCAAAACAAATGCCATTTAAATTTGGTTATAGGACTTGAGGGCAAGAAACATGTTTGAAAACTTAAACAGTAAATAATTGCTGATCCAATCCTACTAACAAGAAACTATAAGACGACTAAGTCCCTTTTAGCAGACTATATCAAAACTCAAAAATGCCATATCACCTTATTATTTATATCTTTCAATGACTACGGATGGGGCATTGCAAAAATAAATTTACTTTCAGATAAGCATATTTATAACAATAAATAAGCTGCTCTCCTAAGCGAGGTGAACACATTGACTCAAGAGTGCCATTTAGAACAAGCAATATTACTCAGCAGAAAAAGTGCAGGATTAAACTGTGCACTGGATATGAACTGGATGAATTAATCTCTAAGCCTCTAATTCCTCATCTATAAAATCAATCTGAAGATACTTTGCAAGGTTGTGGTACAGACGAGTGGCATCAAACAGAAGGTGAACGGAACATATCACTATAGTATATACTCAGTAAGTGGTGGCTACAATTTTTTTATATTGTGCCCTGAAAGAGTAAATTAATTGTACCTAAGAGTAAAATTTGATCCCAAATATTGATATATTATAATTGACTCATCAGGTTCAGTTTAAATGTCTTAAATTATCTTATACTTTTTACAGAAGGAAATATGTCAATAAAGTTAGTTCTATAACAAATTTATAAGTGATGCTTATTTCTCTTTGCCTTGCCCTATTAAAAACTGGACGTGTTCAACCTAGAAATTTTAGACCAAGAGAAGTCATAAAATTGTAAAGAAGTAAAAAAACCACATAAAGAATTAAAATTAGTATAGTAAATCTAAATTAATCAATGTAAGCCACAAAACCAATGCTGAGTGCTAAGAGGTAATGAAACATACACAGTTTCTGTAAATTATTTTAAAAATATGAAACATTATTATGTACTACTTATGGAAACATGGAGTATAAGAATGAAAACAGACAGGAAGTAAGCACATCAGTTTCAGGGCAGTAATTGCCTTAGAGGGAGAAAAATGGGCTGGGGAAATGTTTTAAGGGAACTTTAACGATAACATCCATAATGTTTAAATTCTTAAAAATATCCAGGTGCTGGCAAAATAGGCTTCAAGGTAACAATTATGAAATATATAAAATCATTTTGAAAATACGGTCATAATGGGTAAAACTATAGATAAAACACAATTACTTGGTGCCACTGAGAACCTATCGTTTATAGAGCCTTGTAATAATACGAACTATTTGAAAGGATCTCTGTATTTTCAATTACTTAGACGACACTATTGAGATGCTTTAGCAGATCTGCAACTCTAGGGAATCCGGGAAGATTCCTTAGCATACTTTGAGGGATGGATCTCTATCAATGAACCAGACCCAGGACTCAGCCTTAAAGACAGTACATATTTGGTTCTTTGAAGGGGTCTTGAATAATTCGTTGACTCCCTAAAACTACTACAGGAAACAGAATTTTTTTTTTTTTACCAATCTTAATTTAGCATTTTTTTAATGGGGCCACAGTCTTTTTCTCTATTATTGTAAATGTTTCTTTTTTTAAAGATTTGCCCTAGTACAATCCAAGTCCGCTTCCAAATAAAGTAAAAAGTATTAGTATGAAAAACCCTGGCTACAATAAATTAGAGACCATTTAATCCTGCAATCTTGGTCAAGTTCATATTTCCACCATAGCACATTAGATCCATACTCAGTAAACCTGAACAGTGTCAACTGACCTGAAGTGGTTCCACTTCCTTTATTTGGGGTTGTTTCATGAAAATGCTTGGTTGTCCTGGAAACAGGTGTACTCCGTGTTGCTGTAATATGAGCAGAAGGGAATCTTTGTGTACTCTTGAGACCATTAGTCACTGGGGAATGTACATTAGTGGACTTACGTGCTGCTGAAGGACTCTGCGTAAATGCAACTTTTGCTGTGGTGAATTTTTGGGCTGTTAGTGTGGCCTGTGTAGCAGAAGCATTTGTCATCATGGGATTCTGAGCTGCAGAAGGGGTCTTTGTAGATAGGGTTTTTGATATGAAAGATGTCTGAGCTGCTGCTGGGGATTTGGTGGCTGAATCATTTGCTCTGGTGGGTTTCTGAAGAGTTGGTAGGGTTCCTGTAGCTGAAACATTTACTATGGTGTGTCTTTGAGGTGTTGATGAGACTCCTGTAGCTGGAACATTTATTGTGGTGGGTTTCTAAGGTGTTGGTGTGACTATTGTAGCTGGGACATTTACTGTGGTGGGTTTCTGAGGAGTTGGTGGGGTTCTTGTAGCTGAAACATTTTCTGTGGTGTGTTTTTGAAGAACTGATGGAGTCTCTGTACCTTGAGCATTTGGTGTGGTGGTTTTTGTGGTGGTTTTCTGAGAAGTTGGTGAGACTTCTGTAGTTGGAACATTTACTGTGGTAGGTTTCTGAACTGTTGGTGGGACCTTGGAAGTTAGAGATTTTCCTGTGAAAGAAAAGGTTGAGAAACAAGTTAGCTAAATATTGCTGGCCACATTAACATTCTTAGCCATTGCTTGCTCTGTGGCTATCCTTTCTCTCTCCCCACAAACACCTAGGTATGACTTTCAGGAAACCAACTCTTATTGAGTATTTCTCAAGGAGCTGAAGTTCTAAGTTGCGTTTGCTTTGATATAAATTATACCTATGGGTAACTAAAGAAGACTTATACCAAAGTATACTGAGGTGCTTAAGCTGCTTCTTGTGAAATAAACAAATCAAAGAGTCACTAGTGATCTTATTCTGTGGCACATCTCTATTTTGTCTCCCAAATTATCTTTTGTGCTAATACTAAAGAACAACAGGATGTTGTTCTAGAACAACTAAGCCAACAGAGACAGTCACAGCCTTTTCTATCACTTAACCTTAATGAGCCTGAGAATTTGTTTTGTTTCACGTCTTGTTTAAAGTGATACTCGAGTCTGAGTAAAAATAACTCCTTTTAATTCTCTTGTGCTGGTTACCAACTTTCCATACACCAGTTCCTCTTTAGATTTCAGACTAGATAACAAGTCAGGTGAAACTTTCATTAAGAACATATTCTGAAAAGCATAAATCTAACAGCAGAGCAACTTTTTCAGTCTTCAGAGCCCAACTGCCATTGGGTCACTTATACAAAGTCCCCTGTTGAGGCAGTATTGGGTAGTGCCGAAGCCTGATTTCACCACGTATTAGTGAGCTCTAGCAAGTCCCTAACCCTTCTAAGCTATAGTTTCCTCATCTGTAAAATGAGGATAAAAGCAGAACAGATTGAGTAATTATTATTGAGGAAGGATTAAGGGAAATAATTGAGTAAGCTATTTCACAGTGTCTGTCCCTGAAGCAAGAGATTACATCATCCAGGATGACTGTTGCCAGCCCCATCACACACGGGATGCCCTAGGAACTCAGATGGTATCGGTCATTTTTTTCTGCCTCCTAACCTATCTCACAGGCTGCTATAAGGGATAAATTGAGTAAAACGCCTAGCAGGTAACAGCATTTAGCAGGCACTCAAACAATGATAATCATTATTAAGATAAGTAAAGTTTTTTTATGAACTTTTCATTCTAAGACCCTCCTATATAAAAACTATTCTAAATTATTCTTTGTTCTATCAAGTTAGTTCTCAGTTTTGATCCAGAGAATGTATATACTACCTTAGAGTTTAAATTTCCTAGAAGTTAATTTTTTAGTTATCTTTTCGTTACTGACATCTAGTTTAATTCCACTGTGGCTAGAAGGTATGCTCTGAATAACTTCAATCTTTTGCAATGTATTGTAGCTTAGAGCCCAGCAAAGGGTCAATTTTGGTAAATAGCCCATGCGCACTTGAAAAAACATACCTGTCATCGGTCCTAATAGATTCAATGGTCTCATATGTATATATGTTTAATTGTTGCTCAGATCTTTAGTCTCACTGATTTTTGGTTGCTTGTCCTATTAGCTATTGAGATAGGTGTGGAATTTTCTAACTATGAGTGTGTATTTGTCTATTTTTTCTGTCCATTTTTGCTACATATAGATTGAAGCTATTTTATCAAGTACATATAGATTCCAGATTATGATATATTACTGTTGAGTTGGCCTCCTTATCATTATGAACTGTTTCATCTTAAAATATACATTGATATTAATGTAACTGTGTCAGCTTATTTTGAAGGGTTAATATTTGCATGGTATATTTTTCCATCCTTTACTTTCAACTATTCTGTGTTCTTGTAATTAAACTGTGTCTCTTGTAAATAGTAAAGAACTAGGTTCTTTTTAAAATCTTTTTAAGTCTGACAATCTTGGTCAAATTGCACTTAACATAATTACTGACATACTTGGGTTTATATCAACAACCTTATTAGTTTTCTATTTCTCCCATCTATTCTGTGTTCCTTTCTGCTTCTCTCTCTCTCGTTCTCTTTTGGATTAAATATCCATTATTATTCTTTTATTAGCTTGTGATTTATGTATTCTTCTGTCATTCATTTGTAGCAACCCTAGAGATCACAATATTTATTAGACTATAAGTCAATTATGCAAACTATCACTTTTACCACCTTTTCAGTACTGCTAGAACTGTGTAACCTTTAAATGAATTTACCTCTTTCTGCCTTTCGCATTGTTATTGTGCATTTGTATTCTATGTATAATTCAGACCCCACAGGACATTACATTCACTGTTTGTAAACTCAGTATTCATTTATCCTTGTCACTGTTCATTTCCTTTTGTATTTTCATGTTTTACCTGGCATTATTTTCATTCTACTTGAAGAATTTCCTTTAGTTTCTCATTCTGTGCATGTTTGGTCTGCTAGTGCAAAGTTTTCTTGGTTTTTGTCTGAATACATCTCTATTTTGCATTCAGTTTTGAAGGATATATTAACTGGGTATAAAATTCTAGGTGAACAGTAATTTTCTTACAGTATTTTAAAGATTTCTTCTTATTGTCTTTTGGTTTGCATCATTTTTTGCTGAGCAGTAATCAGTTATACTGTTGCTTCTTTGAAGTTTTTGTTGTTTGTTTTTGCTACGAGTGGTTTTATTTTTGTTCAGCTTAGAGTTAGATTTTTTGCTAAAGTGGTTTTATTTTTATTCAGCTTAGAGTCAGAGAGCTTCTTGAATCTGTTGGCTAATGTACTTTATCAGTTTTGGAAAATTCTGAGTAAGTATCATTTTAAATATTTCTTCTGCTCCTATTTCTCTTCTCCTCCTCCTCCTTCCCCTCTTCCTTTTTGTCTCACTTTCTCTTTTTCCTAATGTGTTAGCACAGTTTAACATGTCTCAAATGTCTCAAACTTTTATCTATATTTCACATTCCTTTTTCTCTTTGTGCATCAGTTTGGGTATTTTTAACCGATCTTTCAGTTCCTAATACTGTTTCCTGCTCTGCCTGAATAGCTAAACCTATCTATTGTGTTCTTAATTTCAGATATTTTCCAGTTGTAGAATATTCATTTTACACCATTTTTGCAGATTCCAACTGAAGTTCTCTTTTCTTTTATCATCTTAAACTTGTTAATCAGTTATTTTAAGGTTCTCATTTGCTAACTCAATTATCTGGATATTCTTTATTTGGTTTTGTTTTCTCTTGATTTGGTCACATTTTCTTGCTTCCTTCCATATCTAACAGTCTTTTGTTGTATGCCAAACATTGTATATAAACCATCCGGATGATATGATATGCCTTTCTGATAAGCAGACTGCATTGAGGTAATCATATCTTCAACCTATTAGGAATTGAGCTGGGTTTCAGTTTCAGTAAGACTCCATCTACTTCTGCTCTTGCCTCTGTTCCTTGGGAGTGGCCCTTCCGGGCTTCTGACTGAAAGCCTGGCGGATTTTTGTTGTTTCACCTTTGGAAGGTGGCAGGAGATCCAGGTCTGTCCTTCAGAGTTCTCCCAGCCACCTAATGTCCTTCCCTATACAGTTTCAAAATGAGCACAGATGTGCTAAAGGGGAGACCTGTGGTATGCTAGATAAAAGCCTGTTCCTCTGGTGGGTATATGCTATCCAAATACCATCAGGTTCTGAGAGATTTCATTTTGTACTTTAGAAGCTCTGGGTCAACCTTCCCAGCCTCACATGCAGCCCCAAAATTTGCAAATGGCCTTTAGGAAAAATTGGTTCTGCATTTGAGGGCCTCAATTTCCAGTGTATTACCCTATCCCTCCATAACCATTAAAGCTTTGCTGGTTTCTCTTTCCTAGAAGTGGTCTTTTGTCTGGGTCAAGGTGAATCCTTAGTCCAGGTTCAGAATCAGCAAAGGTCCCTAGGGAAAACTGCCTTACATCAGGATGGGTTGCCTTCACCACCTGCCCCCAGGAATTTTAGTTCATTCAGACCTTGTTGCTTCCACAGCTGTATCTTATGCCTTAAAAAATATAATTTTTTGGTAATCTATTGAGATTTTATAGTCGTTTTAATGGAAGCATCAGCCTGCCATGACCTACTTGGGTACTTCCATATGGTTTTTTAAGCTCTAAATAACTGATCATTTAATAAAACTTGGAAAAATAAATATGAACTGGATCAAATGGCCAAATTAAAAAAGCACACACACTAAACTTCATAATTAAATGAATTCAAATAATACAAATTTTTACCATTTACATTGTCAAATCTCCCTAACAATCATTATCATTAAAGGTGCAAACACCACAATGATGTTGTATCAGTGGGAGACTAAATTGGTACAGTCTTTTAAAAAGCAGTGCTACTAATGGGCATGAAAAATGTAATTCACATACCTTTGTTATAAATAATTATACTACAAGGAATTTATTGTACAAATGTACTTGCATATATGTGCAGTGACAGATGTACAAGAATATTATAGCATCATTTGTAATAATAGTTCATAAAAAAAATCAAACTAGAACAAAAAACCTAAATTGTCATCAATAGAGGACTGGTTAGATAAATGAATACCCACACCATTGATATAATAAATAAAAAATATTTGTATGTTTATTTATATTCTAGAATAAAACAAAAGAATTTGTAAAAAATTGTTACCTCTCCGAGTAGGACTAGTGATAGAGAAGAGACTTTCACTTCCCATTTTGTACTCATCTCCCTGGCTTTAATATTATGTCATTATGTCTATGTATAACACTTATAATAAAAATCTATTTTAATAAGGAATTTTTAAAATTCATACTAATAAAATTTCAATTATAATTATAAAAGTAAATACTCAAATGCTTGAGTCATGTTGGTATTCACCACTACTTAAACGCCACCTATTGATACTAGGCAATGTTTAGTCCAGCTTCACTGATCTTCTAAATATTTCTTTTAAAATATATTTAAAAAGCAGTTCGAAGGATTCTGAGAGTACCTTCTGGGTATAAAAAGACATTGAAAGAAAAACGTCTAGAAGGATGAAGGAGAATGGATAATAATAGAAATTCTGGAGGCAGAAAAGAATTGAATGTTAATTCAGTGAAGTCAACAGATGGCAAGAGTTTCCCAGTTGTTGCAACAGGTATGATCACTATCTAGAGCCTTCAATCTAAGATTCTCCCTCCAATAAACCACTTTATATCTCTTTGTATAAACAAAGTACCTATATTAACTTACTGAAAGCAACATGGTATAAAACAGCAAATGTAAGCAAATTTGCCAAAAATATGAGGCCTATTTTATATATACACATCATAATATGTGTGAGTATGTGTGTGTGTGTGTGTATACAAGCCATAGACCCTTCTGAGAAGCTGTAGAAAAATTGTGTCCCACAGAAAAATACAAATATGTATATGTAAACATTTTACATTTTTTTCTTAGGGGGTTCATTGAATGTCTGCAACCCACATATAGACCTGAGGGTAAGAATAAAGCAAAAATATAACTATCCAAAGTGATTACCTCTGCATTCAGGTGGTGGGCCACTCCACTCTCCTTCATCATTATTCACAGTACAATAAATAGAGTGCTCTCCAATCATGGTGAATCCTTTATTACATGCATACGTTACAGACTGTCTATATCCATAATGGTCACGTTCCCCTTGAATTATTCCATTGTCAATTTGTGGTGGTGCTGGACAATAAATTTCTTAAAAAACAATTCCAACATCTTTTAAATAAATAAAACTAGTAAAGTATTTTTACAAATAAGATCAAAACATGTTAAAGATTATATTTTAAAGAAATCAAAATATCATTTTTCTAAATTCAGCATTACCAACAAGAGATGCTTATAAATGCCTATTAAGTAATTGGTAGTATGTGGGAGCTTTGAATGCAAATGGTGTAGAAGACAAATGCTAACCTTGAGACCAATTCATAGAAATAATAAGATTCAGAACATGTATGTAAAAGAAAAATTATAGTAAGATGTGTGCATATCAAAACGGTGCTAGGAAAAGTGAATGCTGCAGGATTTTAGAGATGAAAGCAGTGTAGTCAGAGAAGACTTGGGCAGGGAAATAGAACTTGAGTTTAAACCTAATATGTACCATGCTTTTGAGAGAGAACAGCGGAGAAAGCGTTGCTCTTCACTCTAAGAGGGAAACGCTAGCAAATGCAAGGAGTTGAAAATTCAAGCAGCATGTTTAAGAGTTAAGTATAGATCATTTTGGATACAGCAGAGATCTTAAATGTCAGGATTACATTTTGACTTCTAGAGTAAAAATTTTTAGCACATATGGACTCACAGAGACTTCACTCAAAACAATCTTACTGAGCAGCTGAACTTACAAAATAAATACAAGCAGAAGTTTTTTTAGTTATACTGTAAAAAGGGACCACTCCCTGGCAGTTACCCTGAGAAAAAATTCAATGGTTCCACATAATCTAAAGGCATGATGTTGTTGTCCTTTTTTTTTTTTTTAAGAATGAAGGCAATTTAATATGTGTGTATGCCAAATTATGTTACACCAAACATACTTAAGAACACAGAAAATACTTAGCACATTTATCAATCACTCTTTGGTCTTGGATCAAAACAAGCAGCAACAACAAGCTGTTCTGATTTACACTAACTTAGAGTGTGCAGAGACACACACACCATTGGTTCAGTTCAAACATTTTCTGAGTGCCTAACACACGCCAGGCATTTTTTTATAATTGGAAGCGCAAAGCTGAACAAGATATAGTTCCTATGTCTTAAAAGCTAGTGGGAAAAAAGATTCAGAAATGATTTCAATAAAAAATGCAAGGGTCATCCCGAAGTAGCCAGCCTGGGAATCTTTCTGATGGGCTAGGGAACTAACTCTTAGTAAGGAAAATATAGCTAAGTAAAGAAGGGGCAGCGGGGCATGGTGGTTCACACCTGTAATCCCAGAACTTTGGGAGGCTGAGGCGGGCAGACTGCTTGAGCCCAGGAGTTCGAGACCAGCCTGGACAACATGAGGAAGCCCTGTCTATGCAAAAAATACATAAATTAGCTGGGCATGGTGGTGTGCACCTATAGTCCCAGCTACAAGGGAGGCTGAGGTGGGAGGATCACTTGGGCCAAGGAGGTTGAGGCTGCAGTGAGCTGTGATCGCACCACTGCACTTCAGCCTGGGCAACAGAGTGAGACCCTGTCTCAATTTAAAAAAAAGAAAAAAAAGAGGTACATGGAAACCACAGCAGTTTGCATGTATAAGGCATAAAACATGAAGGCAAGACCTGAGTGTCAAGCAGTAGGTAGACCATGGCTGCCTTGTACACTATACTAAGGAATTTGGGCTTTTTAAGTGATAGGAGATATGAATAAGCTCTAAGGAGGAAATAGATGTCTAAGTCACATCTGTGTTTCAGATCGCTCTGGGTAAAATATGGATGAAACATTAATAGAGTGAAAGAATGGAGGCAGGAGGCCATTGCTATCAGTGTCACTCTTGAACTCAGGCAACTAAGATTGCTGCCTCAAACCCCACATTTTAAAAGGCTGTGCTCTGGCCCTCCTCTGGATGCATTTCTCCCCTGTTGGTGGGATGTTTGTAGGCTGATAGCATATACTCAATGACAGCCTGTCCTACGACTTCTCCTCCATTCCAGAACATGCTCCAGGAACTAGCACCCAGAATTCCCTGTGCCAACACCCCTTCCAGGGCCTGAGAGGGTCCCTCCCACTGGTCCATGTTCTTGAGGGTGGTCTATCCTGCTGATATACTCACCTCTAACCCAACAGACAATGGAGGGTGGATACAAGTTATGGTGGATGTGGTGGACATGTCTTGGGTATGTAGGCTGAGTTGTCCGCTTATGTGCACCAGAGAACCCATACAGTGTGGGAAGAGGAAGGGCTATTTGATACAAGGTGGGTCTTAGGCCAGCGACCTCCATTTATATTCTTGCCTGGGCCCTGAAAATGTTAGGGGTGGCCCTAATTGCAATAGTCCACAGGAGGAATAATAAACTATGCTAGAAATATACAGATGGAGAGCAAAACACAAGTTTGAAAAACAGATTGAGGAGGTAAAGCACAATGATTTAGGGATGAGATGTGGGGAGTTAAGATAAAGAGAAGGGTCTGGCATGATAGTCATATAGCAGGGATTGATTCTAGGTTAGCAGATACCATCAGTCAACTAAAATTTTGAAAAAGAAAACATTGGCAGAGAGATAAGCAAACAGGTCCTCTGACAGTGAGGCTCTATTCAGAGGTAAACTAGCAGCACCTCTGTTTTCTGTATAACTATAGACAATTAGTGAATGTGTCCACTGTTCTTTCCTTCTTCGTATCCATATTCACGCATGGACACTGAAGCAACCTCATGTGTTTATAGTCTAGGGCTACATACTTGAGGTGAAGCAGTACATTGTTTAAGAATTCACTTTCCATTCAATCTTTTTGGTATGGTCAAAACAAGTTATGTGGAAAATCAAAATGATCCTGAAAGAAGTAAGGCCTTATAGGGATATTTGAAGGCACTGGGATTGCTTAAGAACAGGGGCTCTTTCCTACAGGATGCAGATGTCAGTGGTTGCTGAGTCACAGAGAGGATAGAAGAGTCAAGGAGGAAAACATGAACATCAGAATATTCAGCATGGAGTTCAAGACACCAGATAGGGAAGCAAGGCTGTGGCCTAGATGTGCAAGCAGGAAGATAAAGTGGGTTTGCATTTCTGTCAAATTCATGACACAGCAGGTGCTTGTGAAAATACTGGCTTCAGATGGGAGACTGTTTGTCTGAACTTTGTGACATGTTGCCTGGGTCAAACAAAAGATATGGCCCAGCTTTTCCTTGTTTTCTATCTTTAATTTACTATCATTTACAATGTCTCTTACTGGACAACGAAAATGGGAAAGGTGCTACTGGGTAGCAATGATGAAAAATTTAAAAACAACTACAATGAGAAAAAAAAGGTAGTAGTATGACATCTCAAAAAGAAGGGCACATGGTGGGTGTGGCAGGGACAGGCTCCTTAATGGCACGGCTTCATTTTATTTGTCTTCGTGTCAGTTGACCGTACACGTTGCCTACCAGAGTGTCAATCGATAAATGCTTGATAAATTACACTAAATCTACTCTAGTTTTCTTCCCCTAGTAACATACAAAAACTTTAACTTATCAATAATTTTGACAATAGGGCCTTCAGAAGTCATTTGCAGGAGGGCACATTGTGTGTGGAGAGAGAGAAGGATGGAAAGAAAGCAAGCCTACATTTTAAAATGTTGCATGTATTTTATTCCTCTCAATTTCCAAGAGACATGTGTCTCTAATTGACATAAATTTGACTGGATATATATCCATTTATAATATTATTTCTGCACCATATCTTTCTTTGAGAAGATTCTCAAATACAGACACAGTATTTCTTCTTGACGGTATAAGCTTATCTCTCTAATGATAAGAATATATCACACCTTAAAACCCCTCTAGATAATTATCTCGGTTAATTATTTTAATCCTAAGAAGCAGCATGTAGGCAACACTGGATTTTAGAAAAATGCTGGGTTTGAAATAAGAGACCTGGTTAAATGCCTTCCATTGCCACTTGTTTTAGGATATGGGGTCAAGTCTTACAGACCCTCTGATTGACACTATTTTCTTACACAAAATTGTGGGGCGGAAATCTTTCACCTATCATACTTGACTTTAGAAGTAATGGTTAGACAATAAATGACCAAGTGCAATACAAACCTAAGTTTGTTTTTAATCCTCATTCTACAATTTGGGAATTGGGACTCAGAAAACTTGCTGGTTTATCTTCACAGCTGCTAAATGAAGGAACATCACTAGAAAAGGTCTTAAAATTAGCAAAGCACTCATATATTGAAAGGTGGGTTTGCTACAAATACACACTGTGCTAATATTCTTAAGGGGCAGAAATTAATTTATCATTGAGTACTCAGCCTCACAATCTGAGTGCTTAGATTTTTTAACTCTTACCTCTGCACTCTGGCAACGGGTCACTCCACTGGACAGAGCTGCCTGAAATAAGACAAAAACTAGAAGTCGAGCCAAATAATTTGTACCTAAAGCAACAGGGGAAGAAAAAAGAGTTTGTTACATTCACACATATTTGACTTTCCTCAAATTCTCCAGGTTATTATCTTAAAATATTTACTACACAATTAGGTGAATATAAAACAGTAGTTGATAAAAGTCCACACAGTAGTTTAAAGGAAAAGAAAAATTAAGTTTAAAAACGTGACATCCAAAGAGTAAAAACAGATAAGACATGTACATTTTTTATTTGCATGGGGAATATGTTAGAAAGCATAAAAGTGTTTTAAACATTTTTAAATGACATAGATGATTGAACATTTTATACCTCTGAGTTCTAAATATGGGCTTCACAGAATAATAGAATGTACTTATATTTAAAGGGTTCAAAGTACTTCCCAGATTTTGTGTTCATGACCTAACCAATATCTGTGTTTCGTATAGGAGACAAGTGATACTGATATTTTTACTTTATAAAGAATAGGGACACACACAGAGTAAAATAGAATTATTTAATTTACAGATATGAAATGAGAAAATAAATGTAAAGTTTTCAACAGTGTCTGAGACATTGATGGTACTCAATGAATGAGTTCCTTCTCCCTATACAGAGAACTTATCAAAGAACTTAGAATACTTTCACACTAGGAATGTCTTTAACTCATGCTGTTTTGTAACAGCTTGTTTGCATATAGAAAAACTCATGCAAATTCATTATTTAGGTCAACTAAAGATTGGTTTAGTATTTAACATTTGAAGATTTCTGCAAGTATCATCATCTCAAATTTTTTTATTAATCACATTTAAAATTTTATATTGAATCACATATTTACTGAAATCAGAATTTAGAGAATTCTGGTGGTTTAAGAAATCTTCCTTTCTTGCCCCCATTTTACTAAATTTAACTGTGATGAGCTCATGATGAAGGGTCTTTGAGGAGAGGGATTGTTTTAATTGCTACTAGCTGTGAATACCAGTCATGAAACTAACAATCTCACCTTAAGTCCTAATTTGTTTTCTCATTTCCTAAATACAGGGTTTTAGTATGCCCAAACTTACCCTGTGTTACATGAGAAGGAGATGGTTGCACCAAATAATATGCCACCTGGTACATCAATCTGACCATTTCGTATTTCTCCCGGATTAGGGCATGATTTCTCTAGAATAGAATACAAATTGATTTTTTAAAATTAAATTATCAGGCATACACACAAAGAAGGTAACTATGTGAGGTGGTAGATATGTTAATTAGCTTGACTGTGTTAATCATTTCACAATGTGCACATATATCAAAACATCATGTTGTACACCTAAGATAATATTTGTCGATTATACCTCAATAAAGCTCAGGTAAAAATTTTGAAAAAATTATCAAGCACATATATGTAAATTCATCATCTGAACCATTGATATTTCTTATCCTTAGACTTTTTTTTTTTTTTTTTTGAGATGGAGTTTTGCTCTGTTGCCCAGGCTGGAGCGCGGTGACATAATCTCAGCTCACTGCAACCTCTGCCTCCCAGGTTCAAGGGATTCTCCTGCCTCAGCCTTCCAAGAAGCTGGGATTACAGGCATGCGCCACCACACCCAGCTAGTTTTTGTATTTTTAGTAGAGTCAGGGTTTCATCATGTTGGCCAGGCTACTCTCAATCTCCTGACCTCAAGTGGTCCACCTGCCTCTGTCTCCCAAAGTGCTGGGATTACAGGTATGAGCCACCATGCCTGACCCTTAGACTTCTTTAATTCTAATTTCTCTTTATAATAAGTTTTGAAAAAGCAACGAATTTAGAATATATACTTGTTTTATTTTAGGTAACCTCAAACTAATTAAATGTGAAATTTTTGAATGAATAAGTATTCCTACCACATAAATATTTAGTCTAATTCAAAATAAATTGACACTCATGGTCCTATCAAGAAACATCCTATATAATAATATATACACATAGAGTTCTAGCATGAATGAAGGAAGGGATACTATTTCCCCCAAACACCAGATGGTTGAAAATACTTTAAAAAATTTTACTCACTTTTACAAAATTCGACTGCTGTGGACCATTTTAAATTCTGAAGGCAAGTTAGTTTTGGTGATAGAGAAGGTTCTCTTCTGTAACCTGGACGGCACTCATATTCCACAACAGTACCGACTGGAAAATAATTCTGAGTGATATAAGGCTGTTTGAGGGATGCAGAATTTAGCCTTGTTGGCACCTCGCAGCTACCTAAAAGTATTAACAAAAGCAGCAACAAAAAATGTAGTATCAATTTTTGTTTTATAATCTATATTTAATTATCTGGACCCTAATAACCCCCTTTCTTTACTGCTTTGCGCATATTTAGTACTTAACTATATTAATATCACCATGGCACTTGCAATGTAGCAAATGTATTCACATGTATACTTTGTTTCCTAGTTACTAGAGGCTTAGGAAGTAGAGTTGGTACACACATATCACTATCCCCACTTAAAAAAAAAAAAAAATTTAAGTTGCCTGGCCCAGTTCTGGCATTCAATAAATGTTGGTTTCCTTACCCTGCCCTAAAGAACTACACAGCACCATACAGTACAGGAATAGGGTATTTCCAGACCCCTGGACTAATGTCCTGCACAACAATAATAGCAGCTAATATTTATTTACGTACAAACTCATTTAATTCCCATGAGCCCTGGGGGCAAGGATGAGTCAATTGTATACATAAAGTATTTACACCTGTAAACAGATTGCCCACAAATTGTATACATAAAGTATTTACATCTGTAAACAGATTGCCCACAAATGTGAATCTAGAGAGGCATGGTCAAGTGGAAGGGTCATCATTGGATTTGTAGTCAGAAGACCCAAGTTTACACCTTGGTTTTGGCGTAAAAGCTGCTGCTCTTGAGGAAGTTATTAAACTACTGGGGTCTGTCTCCTCCGCCATAAAAAGAGTGTAAGAGCCCCAACTTACCTCATAAGGTTGTTTGGAGGATTGGATAAAGTAATAACATGGGGAAGAGTTAAAACATGATACATGTGCAAAGACTATGTACTTCATCCTACTGCCTCTATTGTGGATAAAAATAAAAAGTTAAAGCCTATTTCACGCATGGCTTCTAAAGGTATTTGTGCCAATTTCTGTATTTACAGTAGCTTCTATTGATTTAAGTTGTTCAAAGTCAGGTTATCGGGTCTCTTTATCTTTATCTCTACTCATATATCTCAAAGCTAATACAGGGCTATGTAAGTAACAGATTTTTTTCCTCCAAGATAATGCCAATATATATTTTATGAAATCAAAGGGCACATAAGGTGTGGATGACTGTATGTATATTCACCTAAAACA
This sequence comes from Homo sapiens, assembly GCF_000001405.40. Classification (NCBI taxonomy): domain Eukaryota; kingdom Metazoa; phylum Chordata; class Mammalia; order Primates; family Hominidae; genus Homo; species Homo sapiens. The sequence goes on along the minus strand of NC_000001.11, from coordinate 207,323,456 downwards.
AGAAATCTTCATTTCTTTTAATTCTACTAGGTATCAGTATCAAACACGGTTACTGTGTTAGCCCCCAAACAACTCTTCACTGGGCCTCTTATTCATTTTTAACAATCAACCTATCTACCTGTCTATATCCCAGTTTATACATCTCTCTCTCCCTATATATATCTCTCTCCCTATATATATATATCTCCCTATATATATATATCTCTCCCTATATATATCTCCTTATATATATCCCAATTATATATCTCCTTATATATATATATCCCAATTATATATATCTCTCTCCCTATATATATATCCCAATTTATATATATACATATATTTTTTCAAAGTAGCAAGAAGAGAAGATTTGGAATATTCTCCACACAAACACCAAGTGTTTGAGGTACTGGCTATCCAATTACCCTGATTGATCATGACACACTGTATGCATGTGCCAGAATATCACATGTACCCTATAAATATGTACAAGTATAACAGATTTTGAAGTAAATATTGAGAGCTTTTAAAAATGCCACCACAGAGTTGTATTTGGTAAGTCCTACTTTATAAAATACTTAAGAAAACATATCATTTACGCTATGTGTCTCAAGGCAATTGCCAAATATATTTTATATGTTTACTCCCTAAACAATACCTATTGTTTATTTTCTCTACTAGTTCGTTCAAGAGGTACAGTGTTAGGAAGAAAAACTCTTAATGAAGCAGCAGGACCTACTCAGGGTGGTAAATGTCTTCAATTAGCTGGAGTGTGACGTGCCAACAGGGTATACCCTGGGGTTTAGTAACGCTAGAGAACTATCAATTACTAGTCACTCCAAAGGTATATAAAAATAAATTTAAGATACATTCCATTCCCAGAACTTTTCTAAAAAGATGAAGAACTTACGATTGCAGAACTCTTCAATATCTGACCATTGACTGCCCTTAAGGCAGATCACTGAGTCCTTCTCGCCAGGAATTTTCACAAAGCTTTCTTCACATTTGTACGTTATTACAGTATCCTCGGGAAAACTTGTACGGCCTTCCAAAGCTGGCTGGGCATTAGGTACATCTGGGGGAAGGCCACAGTCACCTAGGGAGACAAAAGCAGAACTGAAGGAAATGACTATCAAGTGTCCTCACAGTTGCTGTTTTCAAGACACAAGCCCCCTTGAAATGCCACACCTGAAAGAGATGACATGCAAGTTTGCAGCATCGTGTGCTCCACACGGCTGGACTCTGTCGAGAGTGGGGAACGGTCAGCGGTCTGGCCTCCCATCCTTTTAGACCAGCTTTTTGGGGGTTAAGGATACAGTCTCTTTGAGCCCTCCCTTTCGATTTTGCCAGGCTTGGCTGCTCCGCAAACCCAGCCGGGGCCTCTTTAACCCTCCACGCCGACCCCTAAAGCCAAGTCAGCTGGGGGCCGACACAGCAGGAGCCCCAAATGCTGGTGAGCGGCGAGAGCCTTAAAGGCACAGGACGGCGGGAACCACGACCGCGGGCCAAGCTCCCCACCTGCCAAGTCGCCGGCCCCTGTGCGTGTCTCAGAGACCGACTTGGACCTCCCACCCAGCCCAGGGGCTTCCCCGGCCGCCGGGCCCCTACTCACCCCACACGGCCGGCAGGCACAACAGCACCAGCAGCAGCAGCCGGGGCAGCTCCCCGAGGAGGGGCAGCGCCGCGGGCACGCTCGGCCGCGCGACGGTCATGGCGCGCCGGGTTAGAACAAGGACGCGCCGCCGGGACTCCGCCGAGTCGCAGCTACGCCCAGCGGCCGGAGCGAGTTGCAGTAAGCAGAAGCCTCGTGGCTCCGCAATACCAGTTAAATGAGTGCTTTGGGCGGGGTCTGGGCTGGGGCTCTGCGTCACCAAGGGTGGGACAAACAAGACGGGTGGAGTAGGGGTTTGTTGTGGTCAGAGGTGCGGTCAGAGGGCTCCGGCGTCATACGCCCCGGGGGCCCTAGACTCGGGGAGAGTGGGGAGGGGAAGGAGGAGGAGCTCGCTGGCAACACCCTCTGGGACTCACTCTCTCCACTGCTGGGTGGGGCCTGCGATGACCTGCCTTCTAGAAACCTAAATATCTCCTCGCTACGTAAACACAAACGGGGTGTAAACGGGAGAGGGGGAGGGGTGCTCAAGTATCGCAGGCCTTGCTGCCCGCACGTGAGTTCGTCTAAGCGGAGCATCCCCGCGCTTGAGTGCTGCCAAGGGGACCTGCAGGTGCGGTGGAGTTCGGGGGCTGAGACTCAGGCGCTGAGACGCGGTGCTCTACCCGCGTCTTGGGCCCTCTACTGGGAGGTCTGTCAAAGGCCAGCACGAGGGTGGGGAAATAACTAAGGAGGAAGGGCGTCATCTCCTAGAACACTCTCTAATGTGAAAACAGAGACCTGGGGAAACAGGTTGAATAACACAGTAGGGAGTGAACATTGTTCATGCCTTGTTCGGGTGGGAGTCATTTTCTTCACCCGGGTTCTCCTTATTTACGAAAGACACCACTTTGGGATTACTCCAGACTGACTGTAGAGAGAAATTCACCAGTGTGCGTGTGTGTATGTGTGTGTGTGTGTGTGTGTGTGTGTGTGCGCGCGCGCGCGCGCGCCTCGGGGCGGTGTGGGGTGGGATAACAATAAAAACAAACAGACCCCAAAACGCTGAATGGTGGTGGGGTGGATTTTAAGAGGAAGGCTTGTTACAAACCCTTTAGAATAAATAGCCTGAGGTTTGCAAGACTGGCCACACATTAGAATCACGTGGGGAGCTTATATATATATTTATATTTATATATTCATATATATTTATACATATATAAATATATATTCTTTAAGTTCTGGAATACATGTGCAGAACATGCAGGTTTGTTACATAGGTATACACGTGCCATGGTGGTTTGCTGCACCCATCAACCCAACATCTACATTAGGTATTTCTCCTAATGCTATCCCTCCCCTAACCCCCACCCTCCAACAGGCCCCCGTGTGTGATGTTCCCCTCCCTGTGTCTGTGTATTCTCATTGTTCAACTCCCACTTATGAGTAAGAACATGCAGTGTTTGGTTTTCTGGTCTTATGTTAGTTTGCTGAGGTTGATGGTTTCCAGCTTCATCCATGTCCCTGCATAGGACATGAACTCATCCTTTTTTATGGCTGTGTAGTATTCTATGGTGTATATGTGCCACATTTTCTTTATCCAGTCTATCATTGATGGGTATATGGGTTGGTTCCAATCCAGAGGCCCAAACTGCACCTTAGACAAATTAAATCAGCATCTTTGGGGATGGGACTGGGTATCAGGATTACTTAAAGTGCCACACTGTGCAGCCAGGTTTGAGAACCACAGACCTATATGGTACTGGTCAGAGTAAAGATCTATCCAGCTTAGGACCACCCCTGTCGAAAACAGAAAGGATATAGATGGCAAGGTGGGTTGCCCTTCTTCATAGAGAATAGCCTCAAGAACATGCTTCCCTGTAATAATTTATCTGGGTCTGGCTAGCAGAGTCCTAGCCTAGATTCCTTTTCCCTTAAATGCCTTACCTCGTTAAGTGAAATTCCCTACTTGGAATTATACTTTGGTCTATGGACCAGCTGTGGGGGTATTTGTTATATCCTATCATTATATTCTTTCCTGAAGGTTTTCTGATAGCTCTTTCCTGGTTGGTATGAGCTTTTTGAGGAGGAAAACAGCAATTTTTCAATCATAGCATTTTCTTTGACCCATACCTACTGTATAGAACCAAACCTTGTGTTGCCCATTGCTGGAGCCAATCCTACAGTGATTCCAAGCAAGGGACTACTGTAGGATTTCACTGAAACCTAACAATATTCGAACATTGTGGAGTTTAGAAGTTATGGTGGGGGGCTTTTAAAACCATCTAGTGTCATCCTCATATTTGATGTTAAAATATCTAACCTTTACTCCCATATTGGATATAAAAACACAAGGTATGTTAGGTCCTGGCAGTGTTTAGAAGTGGCATGAGGTCTTCATTTATTCCCCCAATAACCTCCAGTAACCTTAACCACCACTCCCTTCTGTCCTGCCATTAGAGATAGGTAATCTTCATTCCTGCTTGGGCTCACAGAATTGGTGTGAAAGGCAAGGTAGCATTATGAAAAAGACAGGTTCAAGCAAGACCAGTTATGCAGCTGTTAGAAGACTTAACATTGAAGTCTGTTAAAGCTCTCTACATGTTTATTATGTGAATGTCATAGCTTTATATGGAGAGAAAACAATGAGCTCTGCAAAGTGTCAAAAATATTATCTCTATCACACAGCTCAGTGACACTAAATGTCCTAAGCATTCACCTTCCAGCATACTTAGTTATTGGCAATAACTTTTTTTAAAAGGAAATTTTGGCCGGGCGTGGTGGCTCACGCCTGTAATCTCAGCACTTTGGGAGGCCAAGGCAGGAGGATCACCTGAGGTCAGGAGTTCCAGACTAGCCTGGCCAACATGGTGAAACCCCGTCTCTACTAAAAATACAAAAATTGGCTGGGCGTTGTGGCAGGTGCCTGTAATCCCAGCTACTTGGGAGGCTGAGGCGGGAGAATCACTTGAACCTGGGAGGCGGAGGTTGCAGTGAGCCAAGATCGCGCCATTGCACTCCAGCCTGGGGGACGAGAGCAAAACTCCGTCTCAAAAAAAAAAAAAGAAAAGAAATTTTACGAACAATTACTGGATAGAGTCTTAAGTAATAGTTACAATCAGCCAAATTTCAACATTCTGAGGGGAAGGAAACAAAGAAATCCACTATGTATTTACTCAATTTAGAAAAGAGATCTATGATAAAATCTAAGCATTCCTCAGAAAAAAGCAAATATGTGAATTTATAACTTACTAAAGATTATTTTAAATAAATGGCCTCATTTGTTGTGTTCCAGTTGCTTTATACACATTATACCATTTCACCAACACAACTTCATGAAGTGAAGATAACTATCCATATTTTGCAGACAAGGAAACAGGCTGAGAGGCTGTTTACCAAAGCCCATGCACTAACTAGCGACCAGGTCAGAATCTAAACCTAGTTTGATTCCAAAACCTGTACTTCTCCTGTCCTGCCGTACTACATTCTTTTTATTGGAATGAGCAAAAATTTCTTGTATGCAGAGGATGATGAATTAGGTACTTGGGGAGGTGATTTGGGAACCCAGGGGCTTATGATATGAGAAGTAGTTCCAAGGCTTCATACTTATCTACCAGAAACTATCAGTGTGTCCTCAGCTGAGTCACTGCACCTCTCAAGGGCTTATTTCTGCATTGATTAAATAGCATTTGGCACTAAAATAGTCTCTATAGACCTTCCAATCCAAAACAAGCTTATGTAATTAAGTCAAAATACAAAGAAAATAGGTTTATGATTTTGACAGAGCAAGGGACCACGGTTCTTACTCTTATCCCAGGAACCATACAATGACTAAATCAAAGACTGTTTAATAAACTTCCCTAGTATACAGAAACCCACTAAGTGTCAATACTTGTGTTTGAGAATCTACAATCTAGTAGGGAGGTTTTCCATGATAAATGCTATACAAATATCACAACCAAAGTGGTATGGGGCTTCAGAAAGGAAAGAAGGGAGTGTGGTAATTGGAGCGGGGAAGGCTAAAGGCCCAGTGATTCAACTAAATATGACAAGTGTCAATGCAATAGGGCAAAAATAGGAAAAGAGATGAGATACGAACAAAGGTTTGGGGTCAGTCCTGTTGATTCCAGGAATAGTAAGGAGTTTAGTTTAGGGAGAGTATGGAGAACTGAATTGAGGCAATGGCAATGGAACAAGAGGGTAAGAGAGGCTGGAAAGAGATTTGAGAGAGCCTTAAAGGCAAGGCCTGTGCCTTTTACACCATTCAGAAGCATTAAAGGACGGTTGACACTTGTAAGGAGGAAGCACCTGGGTAATTTGGAATTTGCATCTAAGATGCTGGAATGGGAATGGCTGTGTAAGCAAAGATCCAATTTAGCTAATTACAACAGTCCAGGTGTTTAGAGAACAAAAATGTCTTTTAGTTTTAAAATTAATAAATCTATATTAAGGAGTTCCAGTCCTGTTGCTCTGTAAAACTCCTGACACAATTATTATAGACTTTTGAATTTCCATTCCTGCTCTGACCAAACAAGTTTCAAAGTAATAAGCCACAGAATTTGGCAACTGATTAGATAAGGAACAGTGGGGAAAAAGATGTTGAAGAGGACTCGGAAGTTTGGAGTTTGTGAGATTAGCAGCCCTATTTAAAAGAACTATCCATATTCAGCTTTACACTTGTTGAATTTCAAATGCCTTGGCAGAGTGTCTACGTGGAAATGTCCAGCATGCGATTGAAACGGAGGCAAGATTGAGGTGGAGTGGGTAGAGATGTGACTGCAGGCAAGGTTTGAACCAAGGGAGCATAGCATGTGGAAATAGAGAAGCCCAAGGTGTGAGACTTGAGGAGCCCCACGTTAGAAAGTACAAATGACAGAGAAAGGGAAAGGAGAAGGTAGTGGAAAGGAAAGAGGATTGTGCAATTTCTTGAAAGCCAAGGAATACAAAACTGTGAGCAAATATTATCACCCTCATTGCAAGTGAACCAGCTGGTGTTTAGGGAAGTTAAGAAACTAGCCCCAAACCACATGGCTTGCTGGCAGTAGAACTAGTGCTTAGGATCTTAACACCTCTGTTAGACTGGCCAGGCAACATTCCTCCAGAAAATCTCCCTTGCCATTGCATCATACCTGGTACCTTCCTCTATGCTACCAAAGTATGTAATGTGCCTATCTATGCCTCACATCTGAGGAACCAGTCTATTTCATATTTACATTCTAACTCAGCCTAAATTTATTGCCAACTTATCTTAAAATAGCCAATGGGCGGGGGGTGGGGGTTGGGGGGAGCTTTATATTGAGGCATTTTTGTCATGCAGCTGCAAATACAGGTAATTCTGCTTCACAGAATAAGGGTATTTTTTAATAAATGAAAACAAATGAGTGGACTCTCCCATTTCTTATACATGAGTTCTTCAGGAATTCACTAATCAAGGTATCAGTGTATTGCAGCAGACATAGTAGTTTTTTTTTCACTAGGTGCAGGTTCAGCAGGACCTGGGAAAAAGTGGTCTAATTCCATGTGACATGTTCACCTATGAAATGGCATCCTGCCCTGCAGCTGACTTCCCTGTGTGTGTGAGAACAGGCTCAGCAGCCAGGGGGAAATGCAATGCTTGACTTATGTGAGCAAATATTTATTTGCCAAGATCTAACTTTCTGAGACAACAGTGAATTTTTGCTACCTCCACTTTGGAGGTAGGGGCAGGAACAAGAAAATGTGTGTGTGCACACATGTGAGACTGTGTTCATGTGTGAACTTCAAACACAAATTTAGGTTTTGCAATAGTAACATTATTTATAGGAGCAATTGGGAAGGTTAGGAATCTTGTAGCCTTTAGCTGCATGACTCCTGAGCCATAATTTTTAATCTTGTGGCTAGTTTGTTCATTTTAGTATGTGTGTGCAAGAATGTGAGAATATGTTTGCATGTGAGAGTGTATGCATGTATGAGTGTGTAAGCGTGTGTGTGCATGTATGAACGTGTGTGAGCATGTGAGTGTGCATATATGAATGTGTGTGAGCATGTGAGTGTGCATATATGAATGTGTGTGAGCATGAGAGTATGTGCATGTATGAATGTGAGCATGTGAGAGTGTGTGTGCATGTATGAATGTGAGCATGTGAGTGTGTGCATGTATATGTGTGAGCATGAGTGTGTGCATGTATGAATGTGTGTGAGCATGTGAGAGTGTGCGTGCATGTATGAATGTGTGTGTGCATGTGTGTGTGTATGAAAGTCTGAGCATGTGTGTGCATGTATGAATGAGTGTGCATGTGTGTGCATGTATGAATGTGTGTGAGCATGTGAGTGTGTGTATGAAAGCCTGTGTGAGCATGTGTGTGCATGTATATGAATGTGTATGAGCATGTGAGAGTGTATGTGCGTGTATGAATGTGAGCATGTGAGAGTGTGTGTGCATGTGAGAGTGTGGTCCAGCACCCAACCGCTCTGAAACACAAATTTCCCACTTATAAAACAGGTGTAATGATATTACCTCATAGAGGTTTTGTGAGGAATAAAGGAAATAATGTATGTAAAGCATTTGGCCCATTGCTTGGCACACAGTACTCTATAAATATTAACAATAATGAATGATCATGGGTGATGACATGAATGAATGTTTCCTATAACAAGACTTGGCCACTTTTCATGAAATCTATAAATACAGCCATGTCATGACATACAGTTTTAAAATTCTGTAAAAGCAATATGAAATTCTCATGTATTAGCAATGTGGAGATCATTTAGTTGTTTTCCTTATTCTTTCCCCACTCAGTAGTATTTTTCCTTTAGCAAAGATTAGGTCATTTACCAAGATTCAGAATTGTATAAACATTGGATTCTTTACCTCCAATGTAGTCCCATCTGCAGTTTGTTTCCCTTGATTTAACAGCTTGCAAGTTAAGCAGATTTACAATTTAAGCTTACTAGAATTGCACAAGGGTAAGGAGGGAAGAAAGAAGAAATTTACATTGAAGGGATCACCTTCCATTGATACTCTCACTTTGAGACTTAACCTTGGTTAACCATCCAGCAGTGCCATGAGTAAACTATTATTACTTACAATTGCACATGTTGGGACAGGTTCAGAGGGGGAAATGATTGGATAAAACAATACAGATGGCAAAGCCAAGCAAAATTTGAACCCAGTTCTGGGGAGATTTAAAATTATGCTCCGTCCACTCTACGTGTTACCTTTTATTTGTTGGTGCATAATGAAGACTAAAGCGTTCCTCGATCTTTCTCAAAGTGTTCATCGGTGAGTATTTTCCTAGCACTGTTCTTTCAGATGTCAAATAAAATCCATTTACCTATATGATGATCATTTCTCTAGGATAAATAGTACTTTCTCATATAGCCAAATGTTCTGCTATGAAGAAGGTAATTTACTTCAGACAAACAATAATTGCAGGTTTTGTTGAAAACACTTCTGTTTTCTCAAGTCCCCCATCTGATACCACCTCCTCTACTACTTCTGTGACATCCTTTCCCCCTCATGTTTCCAGACCATGTGGCCTCATTTTGATGTCATTTAGTCCATTAGCCCAAAGGTCTATAATAATTATGTCAGGGTTTGTTTGTGTGTGTGTCAGGTTTGCATGGAAAAGAACCAATTTAGAAACTTCTTACATAACAGAGACTTACCATATGACCTTATATTTCCAAGTATGGACCCAGGAAAAATAAAAATGTCTACAAAGATTTGTACATAAATGTTTATAGAAGCTTTATTTATAACAGCTACAAGCTGGAAACAATTCATAAGTAGCTGAATGGTTAAACAAATTGTGGCACTTCCATACAATGAATACTACTTCACATTAAAAAGGAACAAATTAATGATACACACAATAGGGATGAATTTCAAAAACTTGCTGAGCAGAGGAAACTAGGCACATAGAGTGGATATTATATGATTTCATTTATATGAAGTTCCAGAACAAGCAAAATCAACTTATGATGATAGAAATCAAAGTAATGACTATCGGGAGTGGGGAGTGCAAGAGGGTAGGAGAATTTACTGCAAAATGGCAAAAGGGAACTTTTGGGGGAAAATGTTCTATATATTTATTGGGGTAGTGGTTACATGGTGTATACATTTGTCAAGACTCGTGAAACTGGATAATTTGAATGTTTCCATTTGTTTTATGTAAATTATACCTCAATGAAGTTGATTAAAAATCATAAAATGGAATCAAAGGTCTCAGATGTGGAGTTGGTGGGCTTTGGCAACAGTGAATCAACTGGGTTATGTGTCAAGAATAGCACAACCAAATACACCTTTTCTCGTTTTGCCCCCTAATTTTGTCAATCAGTTTGAAGTAGTGTTAACCATGGATGTGAAATAATTTGAGCCCATAAAGAACAATATCAATGGGCTTTGCTGACTTGCAAAACACTGAGTTGTTATATATATGAGAAAATTGGCAAAATCACAAAACAATTATAAGCATATTGCATTAATCATTTGATGTGGATAGTGTAACCTTGGTTGTTTACTATATTCTGAGAGACACAGTGTTGAATCAGAATGCTCACCAATTAACAAGCCATCCACAGGAACTTCTGATGCAATTTCCCATGAAAGGAGAACCAAGGAGATTCTTTTCTCCATACTGTTTGATCCCAGCCTGTTCTCACTGCTCCATCTGAAGAGCTAGTGATAGGTTCTCAGAGCTAATGAGGTAATTTTATGGATCTTTTCCACATCACCTCTCACCTGCTCAATGAATCCCCACTAAATCTTGTGCCAGGATAATGTGGCAGACAGAAATAATGACAGCAACAATTTAGATGAATGTAGGACTTATCATCTCTGGGGAGTTTTTCACTAATATCTCACTTAATTCTCAGATCCACTCTGTGAGATAGGTGTTATTATTAACCTCTAAATGAATTTCAGTGATTCTCTAACAAGTCCAAAGTCATACACCTAATAATAATCAGGGTAAAGCATGAACCCACATCATCAACTGCAGGTTTTGTGCTTGGCCCATCACACCACCCACACTTCACAATAAACTACAAAATAAAAAGCAGATCCCTGCAAGCACCATATTTTAAAGGGTGTTGTGTATTTGGTCTGCTCACTCCAAGCACCGGATTTTTACTTTGTCAGTGGGTAATGTAATTGCCCAACAGATTCTTCTTGCCCACTGTCCAGATGGAACTGATTTATCCAGATGGGAATTACAGTAGACAAAGTTTAATACATGTAGAGCTGGCTAAATTGGAGACTGGAGTTTTATTGTTACTCAAATCAGCCTCCCCAAAAAGTCAGAGGCTAGGATTTTTGTAAGACAGTTTGGCGGGTAGGGAGCTAGGGAATGGGGAATGGTGATAAATTGGGTCAGGGATGGAATCACAGGGAGTCCAAGCTGTCCTCTTGCATTAAGTCAGTTCCTGGGTGGGGGCCACAAAACCAGATGAGCCAGTTTACCAGTCTGGGTGGCACCAGCTGGTCTATCAGAATGCAGGGTCTGAAAAATGCTTCGAACACCAATCTTAGGTTTTACAACAGTAATGTTATCTATCAGAGCAATTGAGCTTAGGAATCTTGTGATCTCTGGTTGCATGACTCCATAATTCCTAATCTTGTGGGTAATTTTGTTAGTTTTACAAAGGCAATCTGGTCCCCAAACAAGGAGGGGATTTGTTTTGGGGAAGGCTGTTATCATCTTTGTTTCAAAGTTAAACCATGAGCTAAATTCCTCTCAAAGTTAGTTCAGCCTGTACCCGGGAATGAACAAGGACAGCTTGGAGGTTAGAACCAAGATGGAGTTGGTTAGGTCAGATTTCCTTTACTGTCATAATTTTCCTATGTCATATTTTTCTCACTGTCATAATTTTTGCAAAGGTGATTTCAGTAATATAACTGGCTCAGATATATCTTTGTAATAATGTCTACAGATTCCATTAATTCAGAAATTTAAAAGAATAAGGTGCATTAAGAGAATAATTATACCCATGCTTCAGAATTTTACCAGTTAAGTTAAAATACATGTAAATAAATTTAAATGCAATATAAAATACATTCAAGTGTAGATGTAACGATAATGTCATTCTGCGGCCAGGTGCGATGGCTCATGCCTGTAATCCCAGCACTTTGGGAGGCTGAGGAGGGCAGATCATGAGGTCAGGAGTTCGAGACCAGCCTGGCCAATATGGTAAAACCCCGTCTCTACTAAAAATACAAAAATTAGCTGGGCATGGTAGCGGGCGCCTGTAGTCCCAGCTACTCAGGAGGCTGAGGCAGGAGAATCGCTTGAACCTGGGAGGCAGAGGTTTCCGTGAGTCGAGATTACACCACTGCACTCCAGCCTGGGTGACAGAGTGAGACTCTGGCTGGAAAATTAATAAAAACTATAATGTCATTCTGATGTTAATTACTAAACACTTGTTATGCCTGCTTAGATATTTTCTGCACTATAGTTACTTCCCATATATCATTATCAGTTGTCCTTCAGGGACAGTGTGGTTAAAAATAATCACTCTGGTGACTCACTAAGGTTTTGCAATTTAACCATTTCATGCCCTCTTAAATAGAAGTTATGTTTAAACTGTTTACTTCTTTCATTCTCCATTGTTTTTCTTAAGATTTTTAGCTGGAAAACCGGCCTGAGGAGGTAATCCACAATACAGAAAATTGATTTTGAGCAAAGAGATATTAGGCTTATATAAACAGAGATTTAGAATGTGCTTAAATATCCAACTACACAGGAATGGTTAAAAACCTTTTAGTACATATATACACATTATTAAGTATTATGCAATTATTAGTTATGTATACAAATAAATTTGTAATGGAATATGAAATGTTTTATTAAAATGTTTAAGCAAGGCCAGGTGTGGTGGCCCACGCCTGTAATCCCAGCACTTTGGGAGGCCGAGGTGGGCAGATCACAAGGTCAGGAGATCGAGACCATCCTGGATAACACGGTGAAACCCCGTGTCTACTAAAAATACAAAAAAATTAGCTGGGTGTTGTGGCGGGTGCCTGTAGTCCCAGCTACTCAGGAGGCTGAGGCAGGAGAATAGCATGAACCTGCGAGGCGGAGTTTTCAGTGAGCCAAGATCGGGCCACTGCACTCCAGCCTGGGCGATAGAGTGAGACCCCATCTCAAAAAAAAAAAAAAAAAAAGTTTAAGCAAGAAGAAAATTCAATTGTAACTGTGTATTAACATGGAAACAAAGTTATTCAAAGAAAAGACTGAAAAATGTTTTATTAAAATGTTTAAGCAAGAAGAAAATTATATCTTCTATATATAATATGATAATCAATTGTAACTTTGTATTAACATGGAAACAAAGTTATTCATAGAAAAGACTGAAAAAAAATAACCAAACTAAGGGTATGTGAATAAGTTTGCTGATTTTTTTCTTTGTATATTTTTTCCATATTGAGCATGCTTTATTGTTACATCTAGAAAGCTTTACTTTCATTTTAAAAGAAATCCTGCCAGCCAATTCATAATCATAATAGTTAAGTATTTGATTATGCTATGTTGTAACTTATTGAAACCTAGAAACTCATTTTTTCAAAGCAGATACTCTTACTTGAACTTTTTGAAATTTAATTCCCTTTTAATTATATCTAGCCTTTGTAGTTTGAAAAACTTTTCTCCTTGGTAGAAAGATAAAATGCAAATTGTTTCTGTAAGTCCTTGTGGGACTTCTCATCCAGGATCCAGCCAATTCCACTCTCACTTACCCCAGGCTAGTTTGAGATTTTGATAAATCTTATCCAGACTGCCACAATAAGCCGTTACTTGTTCTCTTCCTGTCAGCTGATTACATGTACAATGTCCAGATTAAGTGCACATGCTCAGCAATCACTTCCCGTTTTCACAAAATAAAGTCCAAGCTTCTTAGTCTGCTTTCAAGGCCATTTATAATTTGTTATTAGGCCTTTCCTGCTTTGATCTCACAGGTTTTATTTGTGGATGAACAAAATGTGCTATGCTCTAGTCAAATTACCTTCCTCGCTGATCCCTGGCATGCTATGGTTACCACCTCTGCGTGTTGATTCACTTACAAGGAATGCCCTCCCCAGCCAGCTGGTCCAATTAAATGCTTCCTTGGCTATCAGTCTGAAGGGTTTGCACTCTCTTCTGATCTCCTAGTGTAATACAGCAATTTCCCCTAAAGTATGCTTGCATTAGTTTGTGACATCTCTTCCAGTATTATGTTGAACTCCTCCTTAAATCATATAAGGTTGTTTAGCTCTGTTTCTTCTTCCCCTCAATTAGATTATAAAGCAATCTGAGACTCCCTCGCCTTCTGCTTGGACTGGAATCCTACCTCCCTCTCTTATGAGCTCCATGACCTGGACAAGTTACTTCATTTTAGTGTGCCTCAGTTTCCTCATTTATATAATAAAATGGAGATAATAATGTCTATCTCATAGAATTAAAAGAGATAATATGTAAAGAACTTGGGACAGTGCCTACTGTACATATAACACCAATTAAATATTAACTGCCATAACTTATTAGAAGGTATTTTAATGTAAGGATTATGTTTCATATTTCTTTATATCTTCCACAACAGTTGGAAAATTTTACTAGGGACTGATGAGTAAAGATTTATATATTTGTTGACTGTTTTATTAACAAGATTAACTTTTGTTAATAAGACTATCCCAAGCAGGCAAATCTTGGGGACTTTATTAATACTCTATGATGTATCAACATTGTATTATGTGCTGTGCATACATTCTTTTACTAAGCATTCACAATAATTCTTTTCCCACATGGCTTTTATATGTGGTTTTAAAAATTTAACTTTAGACTATGTATGCATATGCATGTGTACAGGCAATTTAAAAAGCCAAATAGTACTTTAAGGAAATGAAACAGTAGTTCCCCAACCCAACATCCCTCCAAAAAGTAGAAATATTCAGTAGGTATTATCTGTTGACTTCCTGTTATGAAGATTTTAATTTAACTCTCTTAACACTCCCACATCCTTCCAGCATAATTAATTGCAGTTTGAAATTAACATTGTATTTATTGTATTGGTACTATGTAAAAATTGTTAACAAGTTAGCATGTAGTGTATTATTAATTTCCTTTTTTGTACCAAATTCTTTATACTTTTAGTTGGTAATTGCCTGATTTTGTTGTTTTCTCATTTTTTTAATGTACCTTTTGCTAACTTTGCACAGAACCATATACTTCCTTGAAACATGGTCAAAAACTTTAGACAAACTGTGAGTTCCACTTTTTTCCTTCTTCTTTTCAGAGTACAAACCTCTTGTAGTTCTTCATTGTCATTCACCAGTCTGGACTTTCTGTTACATCATCCTGAGAATTACCTTGCCTCTTTAGTTATTATTGTTGGATGCCTGGCTTCTTGAACTCTTGTCTTCCTTTTCTTATATTTCTCCGCATTTCGAAGGTGTGTATTCTCCAATAGCTTCCTGGAAAAAAAGGGGCATGGGGAGGTAATTTTCTTTTTTAGATTTTTTTAAATTTTGAAAAGGCTTTTATTCTGCCTACAAACTTGATCGATAGTTAGTCTAGGTCTTAAAATCTAAGTTGAAACCATTTTCCTTAGGATTTTGAAGGCATTTCTCCAATTGACATCTAATTTCAGAATTACTTTCAGAATATTAATGTCATTCTGATTCTTAATTCTTTATGTTTGATTCACTTTTATTCTATTGAAAGTTATGGTTTTGTCTCTAAACTTGGAACTCCGAAATTTTAATCACAATGTGCCTTGTGTTAGTCTGTTTCCATTCACTATGCTGAACCATTCAGTCTAGAAATTTGTGCCTTCCAATTTTGGAAACTATTATTATATTATTATTTTGATAATTTTTTTCAGTATACTCTTTTTAGAACTCTTATTAGTCAGACTGTTAATCTTTTTTTTCTTTTTTTTTTTTTTTTTTTTTTTTGAGACGGAGTCTCGCTCTGTCGCCCAGGCCGGACTGCGGACTGCAGTGGCGCAATCTCGGCTCACTGCAAGCTCCGCTTCCCGGGTTCACGCCATTCTCCTGCCTCAGCCTCCCGAGTAGCTGGGACTACAGGCGCCCGCCACCGCGCCCGGCTAATTTTTTGTATTTTTAGTAGAGACAGGGTTTCACCTTGTTAGCCAGGATGGTCTCGATCTCCTGACCTCATGATCCACCCGCCTCGGCCTCCCAAAGTGTCAGACTGTTAATCTTAGAACTCCTATTAGTTCTCTAAACCTTGTATCTTTTCTATTTTTGTTTCTCATCTTGTTATATTTTCTTAAAATTTCTCAACTTTTATCCAGTGCTTCTGTTGAACTTTTATTATTGCTGTAATATTTGTAATTTCCATGAGCTCTTACTTATTCTCTGAATGTTTTTAACCAGCATTATTTACTCATTTAACATATATAATATCTTCTTTTATATGTGATGATATTAAATATACAGGATTTTGCTTTGTTTTGACGGTGGTTTGTTTTCTTCTTCTGTTTGCATTGTCTGTCTTCCGAGTTTCTTTTTGTCCGTGTTTGTTAGTTTTGTTCTCTGTATTTCATGTTGGAGGCCTCCTCAAGCATCTTATGATCCATAATGTTTCCTTCAATATTTACAAATGAGACTCCAACAAGCTAGTTGTAAACTGTGTGTGTTTCCTGGTTGGCTTCAGTGTAGGGTTATTGGGTTGGGAACTTGACAGTGTGGGAAACAACCCCATATGTTAGCATCTAAAAGTATTTTCTCTTAGTCTCATTCATTTCCCTAAAAAGAAATCCTCTGAAGTCTCACCTGGAATGGAACAGAGAGGTATAAGCCTGGCTACCAACATTCTGGGATCTTAGTCTCACCAGGGAGTTACAGGTCTCACCATTCAATGTTTGCCTTTCCTACCCTTCTTCTTTCACTGTCAGTTTTCCTAGAGTTGAGAACTACTCTGATTTTGATTTTTCCATTTAATGCCCCTTGCCTCTTCTCTGGATAGGAGAAATGGCAAAAACCTTCTTTGTCAAACAGCACTTCAATTAGAAGCAAAACCATTAGTGCTTTGTGCGCACATTGAGCAACTGGGATCCTTCAGGATTGGCTGCTCTCGAGAAAGAAAGCTTCCCACGGGTCACCACACCCCACCCCACTACTTTATCCACAGGGAAGCAGCTGTATCAAATGGCCAATGGTCCTAGTTCCTGGCAGAAAGTAAAAGCATGATAATAGTCTCCTAAATGCTCTGCATATGAGAAGCGTCCTTCAGGTCTGTCGACTTTATATACACTTTCAACTGATCCTCCTATTTTCAGTTTAATTCCTAATCTCCAAAGGTTCTTTGTGCCTCCAATTTCTGAGCCTTTCTGGGGTTCTGCAGCATAAACAGACTGGCTACAGGCAGGAAGGTTTTAGCTTTCTACTTTCTGCTAAATCGGTAACAATTCAAACACCTTTCTGCATCTCCTCTGCCATTTATTCTTTTGTGTTTTTATGCCTTTAAAAAATTATTTTTAATTTTAGTTAAAATGACACTGTAATTTTAGT
Organism: Homo sapiens; assembly: GCF_000001405.40. Lineage (NCBI taxonomy): Eukaryota > Metazoa > Chordata > Mammalia > Primates > Hominidae > Homo > Homo sapiens. The sequence goes on along the minus strand of NC_000001.11, from coordinate 207,306,402 downwards.
GGCATTTTGAGAAAGAGTGAAAATAAATACGAATAGTCACTTATTTTTTCAACAGAAGTCACTATATATATATATACATATACTATGTATATGTGTTACTGCTTAACCATTTCATGAAATGCTCTCTATTATCATCTTAAGAACAGAGACTCCTTTATCAGCTATATGAATTTAGCATCTGGCTAGGAACTTTGGAAAAACTGGATATGTCAAAATAGAGAACAGAAGTATATGTTGAATAATCTTCTTTGCCCCTGGAATAGAAATACCTAGCAAATAAGGCAAACTGTGAATCAGCTTTTCCCTCTTAAATGGCTTAAAGAGGGGGCTCTTCTTAACCAAAATGCTACCTAAAATGCAACAAAGTACATCAACATATGTCTTTTGCAAAGCCAATTAACTTGTAATTTATATTTTTAAAAATATTCAGATATGACTCATGTTTCTTAATAAAATTCCTTGACAAAAAGTGAATTCAAGGCCCAGGGTTTGCTGGAGATAACAATCCACCTGGTAAGACATGGATTTAGACTAATTTTTAATCACTAATTTTATGTTTTCCATGTTTAATATGTTTAATCACTAATGTTTATCATGCTTCTACTTTGTGCCAGGAACTAGGACCATTGGCCATTTGATACCGCTGCTTCCCCATGGATAAAGTAGGGGGTGTGGTGGCCCATAGGGAGTTTTCTTTCTCGAGAGCAGCCAATCCTGAAGGATCACAGTTGCCCAATGTGCGCACAAAGCACTAATGGTTTTGCATCGGATTGAAGGGCTGTTTGACAAAGGTTTTCGCTATTTCAAATACGTAACTGGAGTCTAAGTTTCCAAAAGGTGCTCCCAAGATAAAAAATTTCTGTGATGATATCAGCTTGCACTTAATGGACAAACCAGATTCTTTGAGAAATGTCAGTAGTTTTAATTTAGCAGCTGAAATCTGAATATGTTTCAGTGTTTCTTAGTGAAGCCTTTTCTGCTGCGAAGGATCCACAAAGTCCAGTGTAATTTCAGGATAAGCAGATATGATGTGTGGAGGGTGCAAACTGGCAGTCTGCATGCTGCTTCCAGAACGTGATGTGCATTGCTTGCCTAGGCTCCAGCCTTTCCACCTCAGCTGCTTTGCCCTTTACCTAAGATGTGATTTATTTATATACCTGCCTAACTCATTTTACTTCAGGATGGAGATTAACTATTATCAGCTTCAGGAAGTCTTCCGTAACCTTCCCACACACCTTGAACAATATTCTATTATAACATTTAACAAATATCTGTAATTGTTTTTGCCACTAGACCATGGCCTCTCAAGGACAAAGCTTAGGAATGAGTCATATTACCGCTCAACTAATACAGTGCATGACATATAAGATAGAGTCAATAAACATATGAATGAATGGACAATGAGTGACGCTGCCAAGAACAGAGATTTAGTTTAGTTCCCTTTCCTTTGATTAGCAATCTTGGTCTAGGTGTTATGTACGTAACAGCCATCATCTTATGGGCTTATAATAAAATAAATAAAACAATAAAATAACACGTCACTTAGCTATAAATGAATGAGTAATGTCTCTTAATCTTTCCTATTAATTGTGAGTCATAGGATCTGGGCATGGTACATAATATGTCCCATCATAATATTAAATATATTGCAGGGCGGTACAAACAAACCATTCTATCAGGCATAGAGAAGAATGATGTAGAGCCTAAGACTAACATAAACTCAAAGGGCAGAAAATAAGACAAAATATGCAAGCAAGGTAACAAACTGCATGCCATTTACCAGATTATAGTTCATTTTCCATTTAAAATTTAAATTATATTTAAATTCCATTTAAAGTAAAAGAAATGGTTAAAAAATACCAATCCAGCTATTGCGGGAAGTCAGGAACCCCGAATGGAGGGATCAGCTGAAGCCATGGCAGAAGAACATAAATTGTGAAGATTTCATGGACATTTATTAGTTCCCCAAATTAATACTTTTATAATTTCATACGCTTGTCTTTACTGCAATCTCTGAACATAAATTGTGAAGATTTCATGGACACTTATCACTTCCCTAATCAATACCCTTGTGATTTCCTATGCCTGTCTTTACTTTAATCTCTTAATCCTGTTATCTCGTAAACTGAGGAGGATGTATGTCACCTCAGGACCCTGTGATGATTGCGTTAACTGCACAAATTGTAGAGCATGTGTGTTTGAACAATATGAAATCTGGGCACCCTGAAAAAAGAGCAGGATAACAGCAATGTTCGGGGAACAAGAGAGATAACCTTAAACTCTGACAGCCAGTGAGCCAGGTGGAACAGAGCCATATTTCTCGTCTTTCAAAAGCAAATGGGAGAAATACTGCTGAATTCTTTTTCTCAGCAAGGAACATCCCTGAGAAAGAGAATGCGTCCCTGAGGGTAGGCCTCTAAAATGGCCGCTTCGGTGGGCGGCCGTCTTCTATGGTCGAGCTGTAGGGATGTAATAAGCCCCAGTCTCCCATAGCGCTCCCAGGCTTATTAGGACGAGGAAATTCCCGCCTAATAAATTTTGGTCAGACCGGCTGTCTGCTCTCAAACCCTGTCTCCTGATAAGATGTTATCAATGATAATGCATGCCCGAAACTTCATTAGCAATTTTAATTTCACCCTGGTCGTGTGGTCCTGTGATCTTGCCCTGCCTCCATTTGCCTTGTGATATTCTATTACCTTGTGAAGCACGTGATCTCTGTGACCCACACCCTATTCGTACACTCCCTCCCCTTTTGAAAATCACTAATAAAAACTTGCTGGTTTTGCGGCTCAGTGGGCATCACGGAACCTGCCAACATGTGATGTCTCCCCTAGACACCCAGCTTTAAAATTTCTCTTTTGTACTCTTTCCCTTTATTTCTCAGGCCGGCCGACATTTAGGGAATATAGAAAAGAACCTACGTGAAATATCGGGGGTGAATTTTGCCCGATATCTGGCTGAATTTCCCCCGATATCCAGCCTGACCAGTTCTGTGGTTTCTATTAGTAAATGAAAACTATGCTTTTTCCACTCTGTCAGTTTCAGATTATTTCTTATCTTCCCTCTCGTATAAAGTTTCCCAGCTTCTGTGGAAATTGTTCCATTGAGCAATGCTACTGTTCAACACCTTCTGCTTGCTGTTAGGTACTGACCTCTCTTCAACCCTGCTTTTGATTTATAAAAACTTCAACACCCTCAGAGTCTTCCTGTCTGTCCAACATCCACCCATTTTCAGGATGACATCATATCCTTATTTGATACTCTGGTCACTTACTGCCTTGACTTACTAACTTCCATGGACCTCCTCCATGTCAGCCAGTCATTCCCATAGACACACCCTGGAAGATGTCATTGTCTGGAATTGCTCCAACTCCAAAAACATTTTTTCAAACATCAGTCTCTCTGCATAAACTTTAATCAAATGACTCTCAACCTATCATTCTTTGTCCTCATTGAGATCTTCCAACTCATAGATTCTTTACTTTGTATCTTCCTCTCAGTTCCTGTCTGTCTTCATTTCTTCCTCTCCAGATTGACATTCTATGGCCCATCACTTCCTCCTTCTTTTCAATGCCCTTATCTTTCCTATCTCATTTTTCTGTTGTATGTGCCTGGCAAAATGCCAGAGGTAGATGAACCCTACTGTTGCCCATTTCTAAATCTTCAGATGATCTGCTGGAGAAAATAAGACAACCAAATGGACACTACACCATCTTAACTGAACTTTGAACACAGTATATGTTTCTTCATCAACCCTCTGTCCCATCCTCCCCCTCACCTATTTCACACTTTTTTCGCTTTTCTCAAGTTTCCACCCTTCCTCTCAATACACCTTTCACTGAGCCTCCATAGATTTCCCCTTCTAATTAGCAGATGTAAGGCGAGCATCAGCCTTCCTACAAACATGCTCTTAAAAGCTTAATTTCCCTAGACTTTTAGGAGAAGGAAGGTTTTGCCTCTCAGGCTTCTGGAAGTTGTTTTTCATGCATTGCCTGAGTCTCCTCTTCTTTCCAAACTCCATCAAGGAAAAGCCTCCCTTACTGCTGGCTGCCTCCCTGAATACCTGGGTACAGCCTCTTCAAAGTCCCGCCTGGGTTTCAGCAGAGGGGTGGATGTAAGGCAGGCCACACTTTTTTTTTAAACTTCATACAGTTATTCCTTGCAATGGTATCAGGTAAAGCTATCCTGATGTATTAGATTTTTCTGAAGAGTTGGTGGTAGATACTCTATTATATGAGGGAAATTAAAAATGCAAATAAAATAAAAACAATAACAAAAACACTTGGCTAAATATACTGGTAACCATAGTCCAAGAGAAAATAAGAAAAAAGTCAACTTATTCTCAAGAGGTACCCTCATGGTCAGATCCCATTTAATAGCATTGGTCCGTTGTCCTACAGAGCTACAGATCAGTCCTACCTTTCAAGAGCTCCTGCTTCTTCAAACCTTTGCAGTGTGAATATCTGTCCCAATTTAAGGATACTCCAGTACCCACCTTTGGGGTTTGGTCTGGCCATGGGATCCAGACCCCAGTCCCCAGTCCCCAGGCAATGCATGTGTGGAAGTGATTTGAAGGAACAATTGTCAGGTCCAGGAGGAAGGAGGTCATGTCTATCTTATTCAGTCTTGTAATCTAAAATCCAGCACAAAGATTGAGAGATAGTAAGATTTCAATAAGCATTTGAGGCAACGAAGAAAGAAGGCATAATGAAGACAGTCTCAATGCTGACTTTGCCTAAGTTACGTATTGAGTATGTTTTGTGTTTTCTTATGGCAAATGCAGCCAGTCCTTGACTTCATCTCCTTTTCCTTAGCCTCCCATCTAGTTCCTTTGGAGTTCAAGTGAACCTCCTACAAATGTCCATTTATTCTTGGCCCTGAAGTTCTTGGACCACCTATGACTAGCAGAATAATTGTGGACTCTGCCACCTATCAATCATCCTTGCAGAGTGCTATATTCCTGACATTTACCCCCAACCCTACACTTAATAGTAAATTAATATATAGTTGAACAACAGGCAACAAATTAATGTTAACATTCCCCTATAATTTATGAGCACTACTCCCTCCCTGGTAGCATACAAACACATCTTCATTAAAGAAGCTTAACATTTTGAGAGGCAGCAATTCTTTTCCATATCTAACTAATGGATAAACTAAGGGAATGGAGAAAAGGGTGTCAGTAACAGCATTATACATGATAATAGAGCCCATAGCTTTTGGCTCCCAAATGTCTGCTCTAACTGCAAGACCAGAAACTCCCACTGTGATCTGCTAGAACCTGTGCAAAATAAACAAACAACCTTTTAGCTCAGAGGAACTAGCTGAGCTATGTCTGTATAAGACAGAGGCACAGAGAATCATCTGCTTTAAAGAGAGATTATTTTTTTCAGAATTCTGGGCTTTTCAACATCTCTATTTTCTAATTACTTCACTCTTAGACCACAGTTTGCCTGAAGTTTCCATTTTTTCTCTGTCTTAAAAACTATTTTTGGTCTCAGTTCCACATGTGGCTCTGTGTGTGTTTGCTATGTGTTATAATAATGATGTGACACCGTTTTCACATTGCTGGTATGGGAGAATTTTTGAATTTCCTATATAAATATGTAAAGTTCACAGAATTTGTGCATGTTGTTATAAAATTGTTATTGGATTTATTGGGAAGCACACTGACTCTCATAACTTGATCCAAGGATTTTCCTGGGCCAGCATGACAGGTCTTATACTGGGTTTTATAGTCAGTCCCTCAATTGCTATCAGTCTAAACTAGCGGTTTCCAACCCAGTATTACAACTCATTTTGAACATCAAAACCTGGATCCTTGTATAAATAGTAGGTTTACTTTTTAGTGCCCTTTGATTAAAAAATATATAATGATAAAAAGCTAACACAGATTCAGAAATATAGTACTTTTAAATGTATTCTGCTTATTAATCAAAATAGCATCCATATACTTTCATAAGTATTAGTCTATTAATTTGTCCTACAGAAAATAGTTTAACCAAGCATGAAAACTCCTAGACTCCGTAAAATTCCTGCAACCCCTTACTGGGACTCAAGGTTGCCCTCTTCTTTTTTCTTTCAGTCTTCATTTACCTCTGAGATACTGCCGGTCTCCTTCATGCAGACTACAAAATCCCATTCTCCTTTACTTCTTTCAATTGCACTTTCATCCTCATGAAACTTCTCATGCCCATTCTTCAGTATGTTCTTTTTAATTCAATAAGTTTAGATTTAACATATTGAGCACCTATTATGTGTCAAGTACTGTGCTAGGCACATCCATGCATAATTTCATTTAACCTCACAATAATTCTTCACAGTAACACTTTGAGGATGTTATTATATCACAACTTTAGATAGGAGGAAATTAATGACTTGGTCAGGTTGCAAAGTGGTAAGTAAAGGAACCTGAATCCCGAGCACTACCTTGGAGGCCTCTAGTATTTCCACAGTACAGAATCTGCTATTGTATGTCATAGTACTCTCAACACCTGTGTGAATCACATATCAATGTAGTAGGTCTTCTGTACCAATTTCTAGGCCAGGTGCCAGATGAGAGCAATAAGATCAAGTTCCACACATCAAGGTTCTTATAATCTAATAAATATAATGAAGTTGTAGATTTTTAACCCATTTCCCATTTGCCCTGAGAATACTCTTGTCTCTAATCCTTATAACATCATATACATTTCTGTTGCATTAGGATTAGAGACAAGTTCTATTTAGAAATAACTTCAAGAACAGTTTCTATATTTTATTTTTATATTGAAAATCAGTCAGATTTGCTTCAGCCTCAAAGAGCATGTTTATGTAAAATTAAATGAGCATGGGCAGCAAGCTGCAGGAAATGAGTTAAAAAGATGACTGGGCACATATAAAAGCGACCTGTTATTGCAAATGTAATTTATCTAGCATTCTAAACAGTTAGTCAAGTATAGTTCCCTCTTATTCACATAATAGGGATTTACTATATATAACCAGATTCATAGAATAAAAGCATGCAGGATCAAATTGTAGAGATGCTATAGTTATTTCAAATTCAGCACCCGCTAACATCTTGCCAGGAATATGTGGCCTCTGTGGAAGTCCTTGTAACCAGGCAAGCACCACATTGCCATGGCATTGTCTCTTCAAACAAAATAAGGCCCCAGTGTCTTCAGAGAGCTGAGGCTACTTTGGACTTCAGATCAAATTGGAGTCTAAAGAAGTCAACCACAAAGCACACCAGAGGCATATATGCACTTATGTGCCCACAAATAGAAATATGTGGCTTCCATTGTTAGTATTCTACATGCATTATTTGCTCTCCTTCTAAGGTGTCTATTTTGTCTTCTGAAAGAAGAGTGGAACTCTGAGAGTAAATATTTATCTTGCAAAGCATGATTGGCTTTTTGTAATAATGGAGTAAACAACTCAAAAGAAATGAAGTAAGTCTAAGAGGTGGAAAGCTGTGGTTTTTCTGGCATGAGGAAAGGCTTAAGTATGGAAGAGTTTCAACTGATCAAGCAGCAGTAAGTATGCAGGAACTGGGTACAGTTTGAAGAACGAAAGTACTAATGTGTGAAGATGGAAATCATTATTCAGGCATGAGTATGTTTCAGCAAACATTGCCAAAGCTGTTCTATTGACATTTTAAGCTTGTATTAAAATGCTGCCAATAGAAAAGGAAGGAAGGCATTTCTGCCCAGCTGCGATTTTCATTTTTCTTTGAAACGAGGTTCTCTTATGTCCCCAACACTTCCCAGTCTAGCACAAAGTCCTGAGCTGAGAATCAAGAAATGCGAGTTCTGGTACCAGATCTCACATTAACTAGTAGGCTTACTTTAGGAAAGCCAAAGAATAATAGAATTACAGCCTTAAAAGAAACTTTAAAATTTTCTTAATCCTATGATTTCATTTTATAGCAGCTGTAATGGAGCTGAAACCCATCTGTGCTTTGCTTTTTCCAGTTTGTTGAATGCGTTGATCACTTCCCCTGCCTCTATCACAGAATTGTAGAGAGGTCCAAATGAAACAGGAAGTTTGACTGCATGTTCTCACTTATAAGTGGGAGCTGAACAATGAGAATACATGGACACAGGGAGGGGAATAACACACACTGGTGCTTGGGGGCAGGAGCGGCAATGGGGAGAGAGCATCAGGAAAAAGAGCTGATGCATGCTGGGCTTAATACCTAGGGGATGGGTTGATAGGTGCAGCAAACCACCATGGCACACGTTTACCTATGTAACAAACCAGCACATCCTGCACATGTATCCCAGAACTTAACATAAAAAGAAAGAGGAGGTTTGAGAGTGTCTCACTCTCATAACCTCTTTCTTCACTAAATTGCTTTGCTATTCAATGTTAGTCTTACTGTTTCAGGTTTTTTGTTTTGTTTTTTAATTGTCTAGGCTTGTTTGCTACACTGCATTTGCATACCTTTTGGTCTCACCTTGATTTTGAAGGCAAGAACCTATATTAAGTTGAAAATAAAGAGCCCAAAACATAACATCTGTAGAGCATTTGGTAACAACTGAACTTGACTATGTTGTTACTATACACCAAGTACTAGGCTACTGTGTATAACAATCCTTAGAAGTTGATAGCATTGATCCACCTAAGGAAGCTGAGGGCCAGAGAGGTTGAGGAGCTGCCCAAGAACACACAATTGGAAAGTAGTGGAGTAGGGACCAGACTCAAATTTCTCTGGCACCACAGCCTTTACTTTTCCATGCAAACATGCTTGATTAAGTTAAAATGATTTTGAAATGTTAGGCATAACTATAATAACCATTGCATTTCCCCGAGGGACCTAGGAGATGAGTGCAGGAAAACTCAGGAGAAAGCAAAGAAAGAGTGAGCCTTTTGATAATATTAAAACCAACTGTGAGAGAACTGGAAAATTATTATATATCTCGTAGTCCCTGGGCACTGCACAGGAAATTTCATTCAACCTTATATTCTACTCCTTTCTTTAGCCTAGTTACTGGCCTAAACTATGTTCTCTAGCTTTTTTCTTCATATCCAAATAAGGCATGAATTTGTAAATCACTAAATCCCTTAAATTTTATCACCATCCACGTATCTTCCATTTTATATTCTTCAGATCCTCTTATCTCTTCTGTCCCTCTCTGGCGAGCAGTACCAATGAGCTCAAACAAGAGACTGGCTCTCCAGGCTTGATTCCATAATGAAGGGAAAGCTACAAGCCATGCCCTCAGGGAGCACTTGAATCCTGCTCTCTGTAGTTTCTACACTTTCACTAGGCACTGGCCACCAAGGATACTTGGCATTAAAAACAGCTGTGGCTTTAAATGGCAAATCCTCCAGGAAAAGACTGTGTTTATCCCTTTCTCAGATTTTTCTACAATATTTAGTTCCTTTTTAGTTGTTACTCTTTCAATTGCCCCTTTTTAGAAAAGGTAGAATCCATCTGAACAAAAACTCTAAAGAATATATTCTGAGTAGGTGAACTATGAACCCCCTATGCTTTTGATTCATTTAATACTTATCACTTGTCTACTATGTGCAAAGCTATGCGTAGTGAACTTGGCACTCACACCGATTCTGACTCCCAAATAGACTGTCAGAGAGCTACAACATCACCTACATCTGGACTTTCCCAAACTTCCCTTTCTCCACTTGCTACTTTCTTTTTCTTTTCACCTATGTCCTACACAAATACTGACCACTTTTTAAATCTGGTGGACAGAAAAGCAATCGAAGTTTTGTCATAGAGAGGTATGAAGATATATGACTTATGCTGGAGTATGTTTCACATAATGATATGAATATAGCCATATTTATAGGCTATAAATAAATCCTATTGCATTGACTATAGTTTTCCTAAGAGAGCTAATATATGCTTTTACAAAATCAATTTAAAAATTAATCGTACAAACATTAAGATACATTTTTGTGTGAATATTTTTAATAATTTTGTTTGGAACTCACCTCTGACCAATTCTCATTCATCTAGCCACAAAAATCTTGGCTATTCAGCCTCTTGATGAAAAATCAGGATGTTGGATCGGCATGTGGCAAGCCAGCTACCTCTCATGCCCTCTACCAAAAAGAAAAACAGCCGGGCGCCGTGGCTCACGCCTGTAATCCCAGCACTTTGGGAAGCCAAGGCAGGCAGATCACGAGGTCAGGAGATCGAGACCATTCTGGCTAACACGGTGAAACCCTGTCTCTACTAAAAATACAAAAAAGTAGCCGGGCGTGGTGGCTGGCGCCTGTAGTCCCAGCTACTCGGGAGGCTGAGGCAGGAGAGAGGCGCGAACCCGGGAGGCGGAGCTTGCAGTGAGCCGAGATCGCGTCGCTGCCCTCCAGCCTGGGCGACAGAGCGAGACTCCATCTCAAAAAAAAAAAAAAAGAAAAGAAAAAACATGCTTTAATCTAGGTGTGCTTAGCTGTCTAAAAGTTTGATTTTTGTCCTAAGTCTCTGCTAGTTAGAATTACCTCTAAATAGAGGAATCAATTAGTGTCAAAATCACGTATTACATACTAATGTGGGTTTCGTATTATTGACAGTAAGTAAATTTGAAAAATATAAAGAGAAAAGCTGAGGGAGAAAATCAATCCTAATTGTACCATCAAAAGTGACCACTCAGTATCCTGCTGTATTTCCTCCCAACTTTTTTCTCTCGTTTTTTTTTTTTTACTTAATATTGTGAACATTCTTAAACAAATAAAACCTCTTCTAAAATAGTTGTATAATAGTCTATTTCTAGCTGGTCAGTGATTTATTAATCATTCTTGTTGGATGTTTAAGTTGTTTCCAGTTTTTCACTACTATAAACAAGGCAGAGATGAACATCCTGTATATATATTTCCTAGTATTTAAATTATTTCATTGGTGGATACATCATACACAAAAATTAACTCAAAATGAATTGAAGACTTAAATACAAGACTCGAAACTTTAAAAACATTGGGGAAAAAGAAAAAGAAAACATTGGGGAAAAAGCTTCATGAAATTTGTCTTAGCAATGATTACTTGGACTTGATACCAAAGGAACAGGCAATAAAAGCAAAGATAAACGAGTAGGACTACACCAAATGAAAAAGTTTGTGCACAACAAAAGAAACAACAAAATGAAAATGCAGCCTATGGATGGATTGGAAGAAAATATTTGCAAACTATATATCTGATAGATGGTTAATATCCACAATGCATAAGGAACTCCTATAACTTAATAGCAAAAACAGAACCCAATTTAAAAATGGACAAAGGAACTGAATAGACATTTTTCCAAAGAAAACACACAAATAGCTAACAGGTACATGAAAAGGTGCTCTACATTACTGATCATCAGGGAACCAAAAATCAAAACCACAATGAGATATCACTTTATTCCTATTAGGATGGCTATTTTTAAAACAAAACCAAAAGATAGTAAGTGTTGGCAAGGATGTGGAGAAAAGGAATCCCTTGTACACTGTTGGTGGGAATGTAAATTGGAATGGCCACTGTGGAAAACAGTATGGAGGTTTCTTTAAAAATTCAAAGTAGAACTACCGATGATCCAACAAGCTCACATCTGAATATATATCCAAAGGAATTAAAATCAAGATATTGAAAGGATATCTGCACTGCCACATTCATTTCAGCATTATTCACAAGAGCCAAGACATGAAAGCAACCTAAATGTCCATTGACTGATGAATGGATAAATAAAATGTGGCATATACAAACAATGGAATATTATTCTGCCTTTAAAAAGAAGGAAATGTTGTCATTTTCATCAACATAGATGAACCTGGAGAACATTATGCTAATTGAAATAAGCCAGACACAAAAGGACAAATACTGCATGGTACCACTCATATGAGAAATCTAAAATAGTCAAACTCATAGAGGCATAGGGTAGAAGGATAATTGCCAAGGGCTGGGGGTCATGGGGAAGTATATTAGTCAAGGGTACAAAGTTTCAGGTACTCTGGTTGGTGGAAATGTAAGTACAGGATAAATATACAAGATAAACTCTAGATATTTGTGGTACAGCATAGTGCCTATAGTTAACAATACTGTATTGCATACTTAAAAACTTGCTAATAGGGTAGATCTTATGTTGAGTGATCTTATCACACACGTACAAGTAATAATGATAAAGAGGGTAGGAGGAAACTTTTGGAGATGATGAATATGTTTATGAAATTGATTATGGTGATGACTCCACAGGTATATCCTTCTCTCCAAACTCATCAAGTTGTATATGTTAAATATGTACAACTTTTTGTATGTCAATTCATAACCTCAATATAATAGTCTAAAAATAATTGGAATGGAGTCTCAAATACAAAATTATTACAGCCAAGCCTTTTGATACAAATTTCTATATTGCTTTCCAATATAATTATATCAGCTTGCAATCCTAAGAGAAAAAAAAAATCAGTCTTACCACACCCTCAAATTTATATTCAGTTACTCTATCTGCATAAGAATTTACATTGTTGCCTAAGAATTTATATTTTATCTCATTTCAGGTTCCAGAAACTTAATTCTTAACACAATGTGAGGTACTAATACAAAATGTTTCCAAATAAACAAGCAAACATTTCCTGAGCATCTACTGTGTGTAAAGAACTGTGCCTGGCGTTGTAGAAAATATAGTACAGGTATATGAACTGTATTTGTCCTTATAGTACTTACTCTTCAGTAGGAGAAGTAAAATTATACCTGTCTACCACAGTGTCCACTTTTTGCTCTTTTGTATTAGTTACACAGCTAATACAAAACGGAAAGTAATAAGAGCCATAGAGGAGTTACAAATAGTTTAATGAGAGGGCAGAACAAAGGAAACATTTGATAAGGAGATCCGATATCAGTTGCTTTGGGCCTTATGCTTTTTGTATTAAGAGGAATACAAAATGCTGAAGATAGAGCTTTGGGGCCTTAATATCCCTTTATTGAAGGCTCTGGCAGAAGTAGGACTTTCTTTAGAAATTTTGAATTTTTTTTTTTTTTGAGACAGAGTCTCACTCTGTCACCCATGCTTGTGCACAGTGGCATGATCTCAGCTTACTGCAACCTCTGCTTCCTGGGTTTTCAAGTGATCCTCCTGCCTAAGCCTCCTGAGTAGCTGGGAATACAAGTGTGTACCACTATGCCTGCCTTATTTTTGTATTTTTAGTAGAGATGGAGTTTTGCCATGTTGGCCAGGCTGTGGATTTCTTTAATGCATTGTACACCATGGAATGAAGTCCTGTGATTATGTTCATTACTGTTCCCACTAGTATAAATACTTACTATGGTGTTTCAAGTAAAATGGATTAACATATCAATGTTCTGCTTGAATCAAATGGTGTTGATTTGATATATATTTTATGTTCTTTCCTTTCTCTATATTTAATAGAGATGAAATTGATCCTTGAGGTGGAGTCAAACAAAGGTAAAGGCTGAGACCTTGGCCTACTAGGATCCCAGCTCTGTGTACATCTAAATGGGACAAAAAGTAAATGAAAGCTTTTCTGGTTTTATCTTAGTGACATTCACTGGTGTATTAGTCCATTTTCATGCTGCTGATAAAGACATACCTGAGACTGGGCAATTTACAAAAGAGGTTTAATGGACTTACAGTTCCACGTGGCTGGGGAGGCCTCACAATCATGACAGAAGGTGAAAGGCATGTCTCACATGGTGGCAGACAAGAGAAGAGAACTTATGCAGGGAAACTCCCCATTTTAAAACCATCAGTTCTCATGAGACTTATCATTATCCCAAGAACAGCACAGGAAAGACCTGCCCCCATGATTCAATTACCCCCCACTGGGTCCCTCCCACCACACGTGGGAATTCAAGATGAGATTTGGGTGGGGTCATAGCCAAACCACATCATTCCACCCCAGCCCCTCCCAAATCTCATGTCCTCACATTTCAAAACCAATCATGTCTTCCCGACAGTCCCCCAGTGTCTTAACTCATTTCAGCATTAACTCAAAAGTCCACAGTTCAGTCTCATCTGAGATAAGGCAAGTACCTTCCACCTATAAGCCTGTAAAATCAAAAGCAAGTTAGTTACTTCCTAGATATAATGGGGGTACAAGCATTGGTTAAATACAGCCATTCCAAATGGGAGAAACTGGCCAAAACAAAGGGGCTACAGGCCCCACACAAGTCTGAAATCCAGTGGGGCATTCAAATCTCAAAGCTCCAAAATGATCTCCTTTGACTCCATGTCCCTCATCCAGGTCATGCTGATGTAAGAGGTGGGTTCCCATGGTCTTGGACAGCTCTGCCTCTGTGGCTTTGCAGGGTACAACCTCCCTCCTGGCTGCTTTCATGGGCTGGTATTGAATGTCTGCAGCTTTTCCAGGCTCTCAATACAAGCTGTCGGTGGATCTACCATTCTGGGGTCTAGCAGACTGTGGCCCTCTTCTCACAGCTCCATAGGTGGTGCTCCAGTAGGAACTCTGTGTGGGGGCTCTGACCCCACATTTCCCTTCGACACTGCCCTAGCAGAGGTTCTCCATGAGAGCCCCACCCCTGCAGCAAACTTCTGCCTGGACATCCAGGCACTTCCATACATCCTCTGAAAATCAGGCAGAGGTTCCTTTGGGAACCCCCAATTCTTGACTTCTATGCACTGGCAGGCTCAACACCACATGGAAGCTGCCAAGGCTTGAGGCTTGCACACTCTGAAGCCATGGCCTGAGCTCTGTGTTGGCCCCTTTCAGCCATGGCTGGAGTGACTCGGACACAGGGCATCAAGTCCCTAGGGGGCCTACAGCACAGGGACCCTGGGCCCAGCCCACGAAACCACTTTTTCCTCCTAGACCACCAGGCCTGTAATGGAATGGGCTGCTGTGAAGACCTCTGACATGCCTTAGAGACATTTTCCCCATTGTCTTGGGGATTAACATTCAGCTCCTCATTACTTATGCAAATTTCTGCAGCCTGCTTAGATTTCTTCTTAGAAATGGGATTTTCTTTTCTATCACATTGTCAGGCTGCAAGTTTTCCAAACTTTTATGCTCTGTTTCCCTTTTAAAACTGAATGCCTTTAGCAGTACCCAACTCGCCTCTTGAATGTTTTGCTGCTTTGAAATTTCTGCTGCCAGATACCCTAAATCATCTCTCTCAAGTTCAAAGTTCCACAAATCTCTCGTGCAGGGGCAAAATGCTGCCAGTCTCTTTGCTAAAACATAACAAGAGTCACCTTTGCTCCAGTTCCCAACAAGTTCCTCATTTCTGTTTGGGACCACCTTAGCCTGGACTTTATTGTCCATATCACTATCAGCATTTGGGGCAGGCAAAGTCATTCAACGAGTCTCTAGGAAGTTCCAAACTTTCCCACATTTTCCTGTCTTCTTCTAAGCCCTCCAAACTATTCCAACCTCCGCCTGTTACCCAGTTCCAAAGTTGCTTCCACATTTTTGAGTATCTACAGCAGCACCCCACTCTACCAGTACCAATTTACTGTATTAGTCTGTTTTCACACCGCTGGTAAAGACATACCTGAGACCTGGCAATTTACAAGAGAAAGAGGTTTAATGGACTTACAGTTCCATGTGGCTGGGGAGGCCTCACAATCATGGCAGAAGGTGAAAGGGACATCTCACATAGCAGCAGACAAGAGAAGAAAGCTTGTGCAAGGAAACTCCCCTTTTTAAAACCATCAGATCTCAGGAGACTTATTCACTATCCTGAGAACAGCATGGGAAAGACCTACCCCCATGATTCAATTACCTCCTACTGGGTCCCTCACATAACACAGGGGAATTCAAGATGAGATTTGGGTGGGGACACAGCCAAGCCATATCAACTGGTGCCTCTTTTTACTTCCAGTGATCTAGAGATGTTTACTATGTTAGTTGCTAACCACATGTAGCTATTTAAATTTATTTTTAAATTAAGAAAAATTAAGCAAAATTTAAAATATAGTTTCTCAGTTGCTCTGGCCATGTTTCCATTTCTCAATGACTCATGTGGCTAGTGACTACTATGTAGGACAGAGCACATATATGACATTCCATCATTGCAGCGTTCTAATGGACAGTGCTGATCCAGGTGTCAGGGAGTTATGTAAGCTCAAGAAAATTGTGAGGTAGTTACATAGGCTCAAGAAAATTGATTGTGCAGTTGGCCAGGATTTACAAATGTTGTAATTATATGTTAAGACCCAGTTTTCTAGGGATGAGAGAAGGTGAAGTGGCTCTCCTGCTTTCTAGATGACTCTTTGAACATCAACTATTTACAGAACATCTTCTATAAAAAATGATCTAGAATAAAGGCAAAGAAAAGGGAAACCTTGAACATTAATGTGTAAATCTGTAAAGGTGTTTTAGTTATAGATAGCATAATCATATGTCCCAATTTACCTGGGTGGTCCCAGTTTGCACCAGTTTTCTTTGCATAATTATTAAGAGTCCTCTTTTTCATTCTTAAAGTGTTCTAGTATGGATAATAAATTATATGGTCATGGTACTTATAGTCTCATTTCCTCCTTCCTCATTGAAGCTATGTAGATAAGCAAAACAAAAGCCTTCTAAATGCTGATTTCCATCCAATAACCAGCTTTGCCTAAGTCACATTCAGGGGTATGTGCTCACAGACTGTGAGGTTGTTCCCCACATGTAGAGAGCCAACTTACTGTAGCAGAGTTCCAGCCAACATACTTGGACTTCTGTTTTTCTCTTTCTTAAGGATGAACTATCAGAGGCAACACTGTTTTACTACAGCATAGAAATATATGAATGACTTAGGGAGAAATAAACTACATCAAATGCTTGCATGCATGTATTTCCTGCATTAACAGGTTTTCATGACTTAATGAGGAAAGAAGGTCTTGGCCTTGAAAGAAACACAGAAACAAATATTTAGTGGAAAAAGAACTGATCTGGAAGACAAAATATGTGAGCTTCTTGCTAGTTTAGCCATCATGTGAACTTGGATTTCCCCTTTTTATGTCTTGTCCCTCTGCACTTCAGTTTTCTAGAGGGAAAGGTGTGATATAAATTTAAAGCATTCTTCACTTGAGCTCATTAGAACTTCTGAACTTTCAGCTCCTTAAATGTACCAGTTCCTGGCCTTTGCATATGCATTGTTTTTCATTCTTCAGGACTTTGTGTGAGTACCACTTCTTCATGGATGTCTTCTCTGATCCCCTGAATTAGGTCAAGTGACCCCATGATCTTTATACCTTTTCATCAAAGCACTGAGCTTTGATTTCCTATTTACTTGTCCAAATTCCCCACAAGATTTTAAGTTCAGTGAGAATAAAAGCCATGTGTACTTAATTCACTTTATATGCCCAGTCCTACAGAATCCACATAGTTGATGCTCAGTTTTATTAATAAATGAATAAGCAAGCCTGTGTGCAAGACTTTGTATCCAAGAATATGGAGCCAAGTAAAACCTGATTCTTATCCCGACAAAGTAAGGCCGAACTAGAATGTCTGTAATACAAGACAAAGTAAGTTTCACAAAAGAGGTGCAAAAGATGCTGTAGGAATTTGAGGATAAATGACAGCACAACAGAGATAAGAAAAGGCTTCTGAAGAGATGGAGCATTTGAAATCAGCCTTAAAGAAAAGCTAAAACTTCAATAGGCAGAGATTGTTACTATGCAGTTAACATTCAATTTATTGTCAACCTACTATGTATAGGAATTGTTTTAGGCACTAAGCTAGTAGTAAGAAGACAAATAAGACATGGTTCCTGCCTTAGAACAGTCAGTGATCTAACTGGGAAACATATAGATGTACGAAAAACTATGGTATAAGAGAAAATATATTTTCTGCTAAAGTTGACAGTGTAACCAGTGTGCTTTTGGAGCTCAAAGGAGGAAGGGCGGAGGGTGGAAACAGACAGGAGGCATCAATTTTGACTGGGTTGTCTTTTCCACTAGGGTGGAGAACATTAGAATAAAGCTCTGCAGTTGCGGATTTTAATGAACTTCTTGGAACTTGCCTTTGTTTTTCTTGTTGCTTGGCAACTCTCGGTCTGGCTCCTGAGATGGTCACCACTGGGAACAATTTTTTTAAAGGCTAAAATGTAAATCTCCCATTTACACATAGACCACACTTGTAAAACTTGTCTCCATTCAATTGCCTATTTGGGAAATGACCTTGGCCATGGGAAGAGCATGTCACCCAAATTTTACCTTACTTTTATGTTTGCTGTACTCTCATGGGGGTAATCACTGGACTCTTAACTCCAGTAACTCCCAGGGACATTTTGAGCTGGCTTCCTCCAAAGGGAGCTATGACTGGTTAGAATGTGCTTCAAGTTGAGACCTATTTATTTCCCTTTTCTCTCTTGGACCCTCACTTTGGGAATTATAAGCTGCGCTTCTTTGCAGAGTCCCCGTAGTACAAATGCTCAATGGATTCCCTACCCCAGCTAGCTGCCTCAGCCCTTGGGATCCTCAGACGTTGCTCAGCAGCAGCCTGAGGGGAATATTTAAGGGCAAGAGAAGCAGTTTTTGTCTTTGATTAACCTGAGGCTGATGCATGGATTCAAACTCTTAACCACTGGCTCAAATGCACCATATGTGTGTGTGAGTGTCCGGGGAAGATTGGTGCATCAATTTCAAGTGCAACTGGCCACATCACAAATTTGAGCTTTCTTTGACTCATTAGCATTATCACATTTCATTAATAATCTCTGATACAGATCACTGAAAGATATCATGCCAGTATTAACTAGCAGCTTCTAAAAATCTTTAGGATACTTCAAGGCCCACAAACTGTTCAGATTTTTATAGAATATTTCCCAAAATATTCCTGGAAAAAATGGGAAATGCGTTAGTGAACTTATTTTTTCTTGAGAGGAGGGCTTTAAGGAGAAGGAACATTGTTAAATTATCTGTTGATCTAGGAATACAGAATGGCATAATATGATGGTATCATCTCTAAATGCCCAAATCCATCTAGTCCATATTAAGGGGATTAACGCAATTTGCAAATGCCAGGCAGCCGCTGTTTTTCTTTGCTATCAGCAATAAATGACTTTGGAATCTCTCCCCATTCTACAACAAAGCATCTGCTTTGCAGATAAATTTTGTTACAAAGTCTAGAAGCATTATTAGTTTAGAGCAGGAAAGAAGCTATACACACCAATGGCACTAAAACATTCATTTTCTCGTTAAGCATAGCTGATGCAACATTGAAACATAAATTATTTCAGAACAGATATAGCATCCTCCTTTCACTTGTAGAATCCCTGAATGTGACCAGCCCACCCAAAGACAATTATGCTGAGCAAGTCTTTTTAAATGTGTGAACCAGATGAAAATCTGCAGGAAAAACATCTTTTCCATTAAAAAAAGTCTGTGACTTTTATGGTGAATTCATGGGGAGGGGTTGGTTTTCATTTGCAATCCTTTAAAACAAATACGCTAAAATCCAAAAGAGGATAAGTAACAAGAAATGAGCACTCTGTAGGAGGGAATCTGAAGAGAGAGACACACACCCATGTTATGTCTATGGAAATACTTTACAGAGCTGTGTTTTAGACTTTGCATTCTTACTGCCAGAAATGGAAAGCTGAGAATGTGATGACTGTTGATTCTGAGCCACAAAGAAATTACTGACCAAGTGCCACATCTTTTCATTTCACTGATGCAGTTAATATTTTCTCATAACTGGAAACAACTTACTGACTGCCTGAGAAATCCCTTACTGCAAATACTAAAAGTGGGAAGCTCTGGAGAGGGCATATTCTGGCCAAAACAGCCATGCCCCTTAAACTAGGCATCTCATAGTGGCTTGGTCAGTGCTAAACCCGATGAGTTCCTGACAAACTCCTCTCTCTGGGTCTTGCCAACAATATTGCAGGAAAGAAATAGGATTTGCTAGTGAAGGGGGAAAGAGGGACACAAGAGCTACCTGCTGCTTCAGGAAAAGTGCTTATAAAGTGTACCATGCAGGTTGTGTATTACACACATCTGAACAACTCAAACCTCTAGAAAGCTTCCTTACTGGAACTAGAGAGAAAGCCACACAGGAAGATGAAAGGCAGGTGCGCAGCTAAGAACTAAGATACCACTGAGACCGTTACCTTCCACACAGCACTCATTGTTCTATGAGTATGAGAGAATTCATGGGCATTCCCTCTGCAGGACAAGTCCTTGTTCTGGTTTTTTTTTTTTTTTTCATATATATTTAATCCTCTACATCCTTAGAATTTCCATTCCCTGTGCCCACCGTATTTTGAAATCTTGTGGAGTTGATACGTTCCTTTTTCTGCAAATTTCTCTTCAACATCCAGAGAGCATGCCTTTTGGCAGGCTCAACTCTGCCCAGTTTCACATGGAAACAGGCTCCTGTGAAGAATGAAAAGAAGTATCTGATCTTAATTCCCTACTATGGAAAGAGACTGCCGGGTATCCTAAAATGCCTTTGGCTGGGCTCTAGGCATAACTGGATGAAACTGAAATGGAAAAGCATCAGCTGTATATAATGATACTCCCAGAGTCACAAAGGCAGACTTTTGCTTGGTTCTGGATACCCTACAGAAGACAACAACCTTTTCTCCTGAGGTTTGAGTATCAACAGGGTTCAGCAAATGTAAAATAATCATGTCAGTGACGGCTAATCTTTTTTCAGAAATCTCATTGACGCGCAGGCCTGCCATGTTGATTTTTTTCTGTCCTTAGTTAGACTAATAGGGGTCTTGAAAAATTATTCAAAATTCTTAGGCAAACTCAAGGGAAAGAAGAAATTATTAAGTGTAAAGTTTAAGGGTAAAGTCTTACCTCCTCTACAAATCCTTCCAGCCATGGAAGGAAATTCATGGTCTTTCTTGACCCCAAATTCCTATACATTGCACTGACATTCAACCAAAATACTCTCTGCTTCCACTTAGTTATTCTGATATTGATATCTCATCTCCTCAAGTAGATTTGACTTGTGAAAGGATGGAGGCCTTGTTTTAGCCTTCCCTTTATGTTCTAGTGACATCTGCTTCAATAAGCCCATATTACACTCTCATTAAATACTTGCTTAATTAATGAACAATTCTTCCTCTCTTCTCTTCTGGTAGTCCCATCAGACGAAATTGATTCCCTCAACATTTTGGACTCTAGAGCCCAACTAGCAAACTGTTTTTGTGATTCTGGCTATTAATCTTCACAAGACTGACTTCAGTAAAAATCAAACAGGCATTGTTTGGGGAAGAGCAGGCCATGGAAGAAAGAAGGCAAAACTTATTTTCCAACTGCAGTGACATTGAAAGCTAAGTAAAACACATAATGTGCTAGTTATATAAATTTTGCTAAAAGTTGGGGTTAAAAGCTTGTTAAGTAATATTCCTGTGGCACTCTGATTTCAACCTTAAAGGCCATTCCCATTTGCAAAATGAAAAGAAATTTGGTCACAAAAACCAATTATGGCCAATTCTAGGCATATTGGCTGTAGGTAATGTTTGTCCTAAATGTACTCACATAGTCACTCTCCTATTCCCACTAACAATTCCATTGCTTTCTCCAACATAAATTGTCCAGTTCTTTATTGTTATTCTTGACTCTTAAAAAAATCTGCTACAAGCAAATGTGGCTCGATAACTTTTCCCTTATTAGGAAAAATTCCTTAAAAATATGCAGAAAACGAGGAATGACGAACACAAATACATTGTTAATGACAAGATTCAAGCATTAGCCCAGTCCAGATGGAACTAACACATCTGTTTTTCAAGCAAATACTGACTATCATGAGGCCAGCTTCAAATGTAATAAATGTTTCTTGCAGAAATAAGAGGGTAATTATTGCTGCTCCAATCCCTTAGGGTTGCTTTATTTTAAAAGAGAGGTTATCTCACCCAGCTGTCTGGTGAGCTAATATCCTGCAATGAAAACAGCTAAAGGTCAGCATTGAATCTTAGTCCTGAGACTGTGATGATGCTTTCACTTTAAAGGTCTGGGTTTACCTGGAAAGCGAAAGCAAATTCCTCAGTAAAAGGAAACGTGGCACGACTATGCTTCTATTTTATAAGAGAATCTTCAAATGGAACCCAACAGCTAGTCTCCCAGATCCACATTCTACTTAAGGCTCTCACATTTCAATTGTTGCTGTCACTCATACTGATCCCTAGTTGAACACTGTGCCCTTTAATTTTGGCCAAAGTGTGAGCACAAACTCATTTCTTTGTTTCCCCCTTAGCACAATTAAGACCTTTCACAAATGTTTTCTTTTTTTTATACCAAGTAAAACAAACAAACAAATAAATAAAAGGAACACAAAATATATAAATATATGAAAACTCTCTGGAATATAAACTATCATTTTCTGATTTTGTATATGGTGGTGTGCACCCAGGGCTTATAGACCTTGTCCTAGTTTATGCTCTATCTGAGTGGTTTTACTTAACCCTAAATGGCTGGGACAAATTTACAGCCTTGTACCTGTGTTCTTACTTCCAAAGTTCTGGCTCAGCTTCCTATGGAGGGGACCATCTGAACATCCTAAAACTCCTTCTAGACATCTTGGCTACATTGTGGTGAAGATCAAGAGAGACTGGTTTCCACACAACCATCAGGGCCTTCCTCTTCTCCTCCCCAGTCAGCACAAGCAGGGCTTCCTTCAGTGTTCTGGCCACAGAAATACATATTTTAGCCAAATGATTGATGCCATAAATGGCCCCAATCTTTAGGTGAAATTTCCTCAACCCTACACACCAGAAGATGCCTTCATCCTGTAGAGGTTCAGTAATATAAAATACCATAAATGATTAATAAACATAACATTCCTGTGTCCATACAGTGAGAGTGAGTGAGGAGATGGGGGCTGTTCAAGACCTGTACCTTGCCCTGTAAAAATCAGGATGAGCCATCCCCTCCCCCAAATTAACACTGAGAACTACATAGTTTTTCCTTTCCCAGTAGCTCATCAATGGGTTTACGTCATTGGAGTGCTTATTGAAGCAAAGAGGCTTGATGACTTTTTTACCACTATACTTTTTATATAAAATGACTATTACTGCTTATTTGTATAAGATTTTAGCCACTAAAGTCTCTATTCTTATGAGATCAACTTGCCCAAGGCTATACAGAACCCTGGATTTATCTGTTAAGGTTGGATAAGTCTTTGCAAGGAGAAGACCTGTGGAGTCAGGAGAAACTGGGCTTGCAATGCACAAGCTCAAATTACCAAAATAGAGCATTTGATATTTTGGTCATGACTGAGGGCAGGCATATTTGTCATTCTAAGTTCAGTCATTCTAACTGCATGATGAATATTGGAAAGCTAATGAGAAGGAAAATAACCTGTTGAATTATGGTAAGAATTTCCTCCTCTTTTAAAAATAGTGACGACTGGCTGAAAAGAAAGGTGTTATTTCTCATATTTGGTTTCCAAAGCCTGAGAAAAGCAGGATGTGGTCTTATGACCTATTGACTCCACAGACTTCATAAACATGGATTCAAAGTAGTTTCTCTTCACTGGAAAAGGAAACAGTTCTAGAATGCATTTATTGCCTAGCTGTTGAATATCTACTAAAACTTGGGAGTGTCTAATTGCAATAAACCAAGGCTACATGAATCAACTCCTCATTTCCATGCTGCTCAGGGCAAACTCCCTTAAGTTACAGGAATTGCCCTATCTGCTTCTTCCCTGCCCTCCTGCTGAATTTTGTTCCCAGCCTGTTCCTTAAGCCTTCAGTTTCCTTCATGTCTGCTATCTACTCCTACTACCTGAAAAAACAAAACTGGAAACAGACCAATCAAAACCATCACCTTTGCTTTCTGTTCAAAATAATCTGAGTGACTCCAACCCTGCCCTGTCCACGCCCACACCTGGCCTTGTTGGACAGGTTTGCCTTTACTCTTATTTTACAGATAAAACAGAAACCCAGCTATCTTGATGCTTCTTGCCTCACTGCCTTTCCTGCAAAATCTCCACCTTCCACCCCTACATGTTTTATGGTGGAAGAGAAATTTATATTGCTGTACCTTTCAGCCCATCAATTTATTTTTATTCAAAATTTTTCCAAGCCTTGACCCCTACATTTACTTATTTCCAGAATGTAAATCCATGATCCTCATGACTTTTATTGAGGGCAGGCATATTTGTCATTATAAATTCAGTCATTCTAACTGCATGACGAATATTAGAAAACTAATGAGTAGGAAACAGAACCTGTTGAATTACAGTAAGAACTTCCTCCTCTTTTAAAAATAGTGACAACTGGGCTGAAAAGAAAGATGTTGTTTTTCATGTTTGGTCTCTGAAGCCTGAGAAAAGCAGGATATGGTCTTATGACTCACTGACTCCACAGACTTCATAAACATAGATTCAAAGTAGAATCCATGGGATAGAATGAGAGAGCATTCAAAATGCTCTCCCATTTTTCCTCTTTATCTGGATTTCTGCTGTTACTATTCATTTCATGGATACAGAACCCCACTACGTGCCAAGACTATTTGTATCCACTGTGTTGACTTCTTTGACAGCTTTTTGTCCCAATTCCTGTTTCTCACCTCACCAGTCTTCATCAGATCTGCATTTCCTACCAGCATGTGCACCCTCACCCTGCTCATCTCAGAGCCCCAGCACTCCATCCCCACATCTCCCTATTGAACCATCCCCTCGCTTCTTTCTTTACTGACCTGGTGCCATTTTGCCATAACCACTGAACCAACTCTTGACTGTCAACAGGATCTCTGATGTCTCAGTCAATAATTTTTCACTCAATCCGTTATAGTTACACAATTTGTAATTTAACAGAGTCCAGGTTTTTTTTCAATCGTTTCATATAATCCACACATACATTCATTCTTTGAACAGATATGTCTCAGGCACTCATTTCAAGTACCATGCATTGTGCTAAGTGCTGGGATGTGGCTCAGAAAGAAACCAGACAGGATGTCTGCCTTCATGAAATTCACAGTCTAACAGAAGAGCCATATAAACAAGCAAATGTACAAATAAATATGTAATTACAAAATAAATTACAAATGAGGCTCTATGAAGAATACTAAGAGAGAATAATGAGGAACCAATTGTCGATTAGGGGCATCATGGAAGTGCCCTCTGAGGAAGTGGCATTGAAGCTAAGGTGTGAGGGATGGGTAGGAATTAACCAGGTGAGAGAAGAAAGTGAGTACAAAACAGGAGCAATAGCATGTACGTAGTGCCTGAGACAGGAAAGTGCTGGGCAATTTTGAGGACAGGAAAGGCCGGTGTGGCAGGAGCAAGCAAGAAAGTGGTTCTGAGAGGAAGCACAGCAAGATAGCTGAATAGGACCCTCCAATGATCTTCCCCCTCCACAGGAACACCAAATTGAACAACTATGCACACAAGAAAGCACCTTCATGAAAATCAAAAATCAGATGAGCAATCTCAGCAACAGGTTTTAACATCCTATCAAGGAAATAGGCATTGAAGAGGGTAGGAAAGACAGTTTTGGTTTTTTTTTTGACTTTTACTTTCAGGAGTACATGTACAGGTTGTTATATAGGTAAATTGCATGTCACAGGGGTTTAGTGTACAGATTATTTCACCATTCAGGTAATAAGGATAGTATCCGATAGAGTTTGTTGATCCTTGCTCTCTTCCCACCCTCCACCCTCAAGTAGGCCCCAGGATTTATTGTTCCCTTCTTTGTTTCCATGTGTAGTCAATGTTTAGCTCACAGAAAGTGATCTACATGTGGTATTTGGCTTTCTGTTCCTGCATTAGTTTGTTTAAGACAATGCCCTCCAGCGCCATCCATGTTGCTGCAAAGGACATGATCTTGTTCTTCTTTGTGGCTACATAGTATTCAACGGTATATAACATTTTCTTTATCCAGTCTACCATTGATGAGCATTGAGATTGATTCCAGTCTTTGCTATTGTGAATAGTGCTGCGATGAACATATGTGTGCATATGTCTTTATGGTAGAATGATTTATATTCCTTTGTATATATACCCAATAATGGGATTCCTGGGTTGCATGGTTTAAGTTCTTTGAGAAATCGCCAAGCTGCTTTCCACAGTGGCTGAACTAATTTACATTCCCACTCTCAGTGTATAAATATTCTCTTTTCTCCACAATCTCACCAGCATCTGTTATTTTTTGACTTTTTAATGATAGCCATTCTGACTTGTGTGAGATGACATCTCATTGTGGTTTTGATTTTAATTTCTGTAATGATTAGTGATGTTGAACATTTTTTCATATGCTTCCTGGCCACGTGTATGGGACAGACATTCAAATTGTCTACACCACCCCTCCTTCATCCCCTTCTTCAGGCAGCAGCCACATGGTGTGTGGAGGAGGGAGAGCACAGTTACTGTGGGATTTTGCATTAAAACTCAGAGCTGCCCTGTTACAGCAGAAGGCAACACAGGGTGAAATTCAGCTGGTGCTCATGGGGGAAGCATTTAGACAAGCCCTAGCCAGAGGGGACTCTTCCATCCCAGTGGCCAGACCTTGAGTTCCGGCAAGTCTCATCACTGTGAGTTAAAGGGCTCTGGGCTCCAAATAAATCTGAAAGGCAGTCTAGGCCAAAAGGACTGCAATTCCTGGGCAAGTCCTGGTGCTGTGATGGGCTTAGAGCCAATGGACACAGGGTATATGTAACCTAGTGAGACACCAGTTGGGGTGGCCAAGGGAATGCTGTGTCACCCTCCTCCAACTCCAGGCAGTGCAGCTCACAGCTTCAGAAAAGTAAAGAGGACTTTGTCTTATGCCTGGGATACCAGCTCAGCCACAGTAAAATAAAGCACCAGGCAGAGTCCTGAAGTCCCCATTCCAGGATCTAGCTCCTGGATGACATTTCTAGACGCACTCTGGGGCAGAAGGGAACCTGCTTCCTTGAAGGGAAGGACCCAGTCCTTGCAGAATTCATCACTTGCGGACAAGAGCCCTAGGCCTTGAATTAACATCGGGGATAGCCAAGCAGTATTTACCAAAAGCCTTGGGCAAGACCCAGTACCATGTGACCCAGTTCATTCTCAGCTGTGGTGGCCATGGGGAGAGACTCTTTCTGCTTGAGGAAAGGAGAGAGAAGAGTAAAAAGGATTTTGCCTTGTAACTTGGGTAACAGCTCAGCCACAGCACAAATAAAGCACCAAGTAAATTCCTAAAGCTCCTGACTCCAGGTCCTATAGCTGCTAGACAGCATTTCTAGACCCATTCTGTGCCAGAAGGGAACCTGCCACTCTGAAGGGAATGATACGAGCCTGGCTGGATTCACCACCTGCTTACTAAAGAGCCTTGGGCCTTGAATAAACATCAATGGTAGTCAAGCAATAGTCACCACAGGCCTTGAGGAAGACCCAGTACTGTGCTGAATTCAGGTCTGACCTAGTACAGTCCCAGTGCTGGTGGCTACAGGGGTGCTTGCATCACCCCTCCCCTAACTCCAGGCAGCTCAGCACAAAGAGAAAGAAACTCTTGTTTGTTTGGGGGAAAGTGAGGGAAGAGACTCTGCCTGGTAATTCAAGTAATTATCCTGGATCTTACCCAAGATGATTGAGGCAGTACTCTAAAAGTCTGTAAGAGTTGCAGCATTACTGGGTTTGGGGTGCCCCATAATGCAGATATGGCTGCAATGACTAAAGACTTACATCGCAACACTCAATTCTCTTTGAATACTTGGAAAGCCTTGTCAAGAGGGATGGATGAGTACAAGCATCCATCATATTCTAATCTTTGCCAACACTGCAAAGATTAGAATAAATACCTAACTATTGGAGGCCCAGACATCAACAACCATCCACAAGCATCAGTACCATCCAGGAAAACATAACCTCACCAAAGGAACTAAATAAGGCACCTGGGGTCAATTTCAGAGTCAAAGAGATATGTGACTTTTCAGACAGAGAATTCTACATAGCTGTTTTAAGGATGCCCAATAAAATTCAAGAAAACAGAGAAGGAATTCTGAATCTTAATAGATACATTTAATGAAAAGAATAAAAGAGTTTGTTTATTTGTTTTGAGGTGGAGTTTAGCTCTTGTTGCCCAGGCTGGAGTGCAATGGTGCAATCACAGCTCACTGCAAACTCTGCCTCCTGGGTTCAGGTGATTCTCCTGCTTCAGCCTCCTGAGTAGCTGGGATTACAGGTGCACACCACCACGCCCAGCTAATTTTGTATTTTTAGTAGAGATGGGGTTTCATCATGTTGGTCAGGCTGGTCTCGAACTCCCAACCTCAAGTGATCCACCGCCTTGGTCTCCCAAAGTGCTGAGATTACAGGCGTTAGCCACCATGCCCAGCCTGAAATAGTTTTTTAATAAGTAGAAATTCTGGAGCTGAAAAATTCAATTGAGATATTGAAGAATGCATCAGTCTCTTAACAGCAGAATTCATCAAGCAGAAAAAAGAATTACTGAACTTGAAGACAAGCTATTTGAAAGTACACTATCAGAGGAGATTAAAAAAAAAAAAGAGTGGCCAGGCATGGTGGCTCACACCTGTAATCCCTGCACTTTGGGAGGCCAAGGCAGGTGGATCACAAGGTCAGGAGATTGAGACCATCCTGGCTAAGTCGGTGAAACCCCATCTTTACTGAAAATACAAAAAAAAAAAAAAATAGGTGGCTGTGGTGGCAAATGCCTGTAGTCCCAGCTACCTGGGAGGCTGAGGCAGGAGAATCTCTTGAACCCGGGAGGCGGAGGTTGCAGTGAGCCGAGATCGCGCCACTGCACTCCAGGCTGGGTGACAAAGAAAGACTGTCAAAAAAAAAAAAGAAAAAAGAAAAAGAATGAAGCATGCCTACAAGATCTAGGCAATAGCCTCAGAAGGGCAAATCTAAAAGTAACTGGACTTAAAGTGAAGATACAGAGAGAGATCAGGGTAGAAAGTTTATATTCAGAGAAATAGTAAGAGAACTTTCCAAATCTAGAGAAACATATCAATACTCAAGAAGTTATAGAACACCAAGCAGATTTAATCCAAAAAACACTACCTCATGACATTTAATAATCAAACTCCCAAAGGTCAAGGATAAAGGATTCTAAAAGTAGCAAGAGAAAAGAAACCAATCACATATAAAGCAGCTCCAGTATGTCTGGCAGTAGACTTTTCAGTGGAAACTTTACAGGCCAGGGGAGAGTGGCATGACACATTGAAAGTGCTGAAGGAAAACAACTTTTATCCTAGAATAGCATATCTAGGGAAAATATACTTCAAATCTGAAGAAGAAATACATTCCCAGACAAACAAAAGTTGAAGGATTTCCTCAACGCCAGCAAATCTGTCCTGCAAGAAATGCTAAAGGGTGCTTTTCAATCTGAAAGAAAAGGAAGTAAACAAATAAAAGGAAATAATCTGAAGGTACAAAACCCACTGGAAATAGTAACAGACAAATACAGAATATTATAACACTACAATTGTGTATAAACTAATCATAAGTAGGAAGACTAAAAGATGTATCTATCAAAAATAATAACTATAACTTTTTGAGATATAGACAGTGTAATAAGATATAAATAGAAACAGCACAAAGTTAAAAAGTGGGGGTCAGGGAATGAAGTTAAAGTGTAGAATTTTTATTAGTTTTCTCTTCGCTTATTAGTTTTTTGCAGTCAATGTTAAGTTTTTATTACTTTAAAATAATTGATTAGAAGATGTTATTTGAAAGCCTCTGGTAACCTCAAATCAAAAAACCTACAATAGAGACACAAAAAATACAAAGCAAAAAATTAAAACCTACCACCAGAGATCACTTTCACAGAAAGGAAGACAGGAAGGAAGGAGAAGAAGACCACAGAAAAAACAGAAAACAATTTTTTAAAATAGAGGTAGTAAGTCATTACTTATCCATAATAACATTTAATGTAAATGGACTAAACTCTGCAAGCAAAAGACATAGAATGGCTGAATGGAAATAAAAAACAAGTCTCAACCACCTGCTGCCTACAAGAAATACACTTCAGCTATAAAGACACATAGACTGAAAATAAAAGGATGGAAAAGGATATTCGGTGTAAATGAAAACTAAAAAAGAGCAGGAGTAGCTATACTTATATCAGATAAAATAGGTTTCAAGGCAAACACCATGAAAAGAGACAAAGAAGGCAAAGAAGGTCATTATATATTGATAGAGGGGTCGATTCAGCAAGAGAATATAACACTGGAGCCCATAGATATATAAAGGAAATATTATTAAAGCTGCAGAGAGAAATAGACTCCAATACAATGACAGCTGGAGACTTCAACACCCCACTTTCAGCATTGGACAGATCATTCAGATAGAAAATCAACAAAGATCAGACTGAATCTTCACTATAGATCAAATCAACCTAATAGATATTTACAGAATATTTCATCCCATGGCTAAAGAATACACATTCTTCTCCTCAGCACATGGAATATTCTCAAGGATAGATTATATGTTAGGCCACAAAATAAGTCTTAAAAAATTCAAAAAAAATTGAAACCATATCAAGTATCTTCTCTGACCACATGGAATAAAACTAGAAATAAAAAACAAGAGGAATTTTGAAAACGATATCAACATTTGGAAATTGTGCTCCAAAATTGTGCTCCAAAATGACCAGTGAGTCAAAGAAGAAATTAAGAAGGAAATTTAAAAATTTTTTGAGACAAATGAAAATAGAAATACAACATACCAAAACCTATGGGCTGCAGCAAAAGCGGTATTAAGAGGAATGTTTATAGCAATAAGTACCTACATAAAAAAGAAGGAAACAACCTAATAATGCATCTTAAAGAACTGAAAAAGGAAGAGCATACCAAACTCAAAGTTAATAGAAGAAAATAAGTAATAAAGATTAGAGCAGAAATAAATGAAGTTGAAATAAAAATTACAAAATATCAATGAAATGAGAAGTTAGCTATTTGAAAAGATAAGCAAAATCAACAAACCTTTAGTCAGACTAAGAGGAAAAGAGAGAAGACCCAAATAAAAAAAAATCAGAGATGAAAAAGGAGACATTACAACTCATAGTACAGAAATTCAAAGGATCATTAGATACATGAGCAACTATATGTCAAAAAATTAGAAAACCTAGAAGAAATGGAT